>NC_000005.10:176814443-176964889 GCF_000001405.40 Homo sapiens
CTGACCCCGCCAGCATGCTCCCCACCCAACACCCCAACGTTGGCTCTGTCCAGACCTGGGACACACCCCTTTGCTGCTGCCAATCCCTGCACTGTGAAACCCGCAGCTTCAGTCCAGCCCCTCCCAAAGGCCTCCCACCTCCTCCCCTGCAAAGGGGTCCTGGCATACTGATGTGCTTTGGGTGGGCTAAAGAAAGACTGAGGTATTGAGTCCTCAGCCCTGGGGCTGCCAGAAGCCTCTGACCTGAGCCTCCTCCTTCTCCTCCAGTGCCTCCCTCAGGTATTGCCATTGTTTATGGCGCGGTGACCCTGTTCTCTGGCCCAACTTGCTCTGAGTCACTGCCAGCCAGGTGCTGTTTTTCTTCATTTCTCCATTTTGAGTTTGGGCTCTCTTTGCAGGCAGGGAGGGCTGCTATTGCTGGGGACAGGGAGAGATGTTTGCTCTGCCCCTCTCAGCAACCATCCCATCCCTGTCCCTGAACACGGACTGCCATGCTCCAGGGAAGCTGGAAACGGCCTCCTGTCCAGGGTGGGGACCAGGAAAACTAGGCCCCATCCTGGGGTGGAGGATGCTGTGCCCCAGCCACGTGTATGGACAGCAAACCAGCTCACATTGGTGCATGCTTGTGGGCCACTCACGCAAGTTGTATGCCCATGTCTGTTGAGTAGGAACCCCCATCCCCACCCTGGCATGGATTTTCCCAGAGTGAATGTTTTCTTGAGCAAATGGTGTCATTCACAGAGTCACGTCAAGACGTGGGCTGCTCTGCACAGCTCCTACGTGGGGTGGGACTCCTGGTTCCTGAGGCTGAGCCCCAGGGCCCAACCACGCTCAGACAGGAGCTCAGCTTCCTGCAATCAGTTCCACCAGCCCACCCCTTCGTTCCTTGTCTGCTCCTGTGGGAGTGGCATTGAAGGGTCCTCCTGCCTTCTGGGGAGTCTCACCCCGTATTCTTGCCAGGTGAAGCAGAAAGGACAGGCTAAGCTTTGGAGGCAGTCAGGGTCAACTTCCAACCCAAGCCTCGTGTCCTTGGACAAGCAACTTGCAGTCCCCAGCCTGTTTCCACATTGATAGAATGGGTCATGCTTGCTTTCTGGGGTTATAGTAACAGATTGATGGGCAATGTGGAGAGGGCACTCAGGGTGAACCCCGACACCTAGTAGGTGCCATAGCTTGTCTGTCTCCTTCCTCTGTGTTCCTTCGCATTTGTGGGGGGATGGCATGAGTTAGGACAGAGGTGGGGACTTAAGCCGCATCAGGGCCCGAGCCCAGACACAGGAGAAAAATGCATCTCAGTGTGAGCTGCTTCATTTCCCACTGACCCAGGCCCAGGCAGGGGCCCCTTCTGGTTGGAAGAAGCATCCCCCCTCCCCCGCCATTGACACATACACCACCCACTGCAGGGACTTGGGCCTGATTCAGACTCATTGCTTCCAATGCACAAGGGGCAATTGTTTGGAGGTTCTGAAGATGAAGATTTGGGCTCAGCTTTTCATGCAACTGTGTGTTGATGATCATCTCTGACTCTCAGGACATGGCACAGAGTGGGGCAGGAGCCCTGAGCAGAACGAAATTCTAGTCCTCTCTCTGCTATTTGATTGCTGTGTGATCTTTTAGACAAATCATTTAACCTCTCTGGGCTGTTTGCCTCTCTGTATACTAAAGGGTGTAGTATACCCAATGATGCCTATATTGGAGCCTGGGGTGGACTCTGCACTCAGCAGCAGGCTCCCCCAGGAACTGCTCACACCTGCCCAGCACCTGCCACAGACATCAGCTGCCCTGGCAGGGGCTGCCTGCATCGCTGGAGAGCCAGGTGGCTGCTGGGGCAGAGCCAAAAGTGGTTGGGAGGCAGAACTGGGGACTGAGTCCCAACCCCTAGGCCAGGAATTGAGGGCCCACTTCTGCTGGCAAATAACTCCTATGTCAGAAACAGGCCTTCTCAGGGCGTCCAGAAGGTCAGGGTCCCAGTGCCCAAGGCCCACCCCCTTCCTGGGCACTGATGTCAGGTGCGACAGGCAGCTTCAGACCCCAGGGGCCCAGAACCCCAGGCACATGGAGGAGGTAGTGAAATGGGTGAGTTGGCAAGCTCTGTGGCTGGGTTTGGACCAGTACTAGGGTGAGGCCAGGCAGGTGCCTAGGCACAAAGGTAGGGCCAGCCCCCAAGAGTGCACGCCTCCTGGCCCTGCATCCAGCTCCTCCCTGCATGGCTTCAGTTTCCTTGTCTGTACAACTGACTCAAAAAGAACCCACCTCCTAGGATTTTGTGCAGATTAGACGGGCTGAAGTGTGTCAGTGCTGGCACATAGTGGGCACTCAATACACGTTAGCAATGATGATGCCATGGCAGAGGGCACTGTTCAGTCCTCTCCTTCGGGAAGTGGGGGAGTCCTTGGCTGTCTTTGTGGAAGACGGAGCGACTGGGGAGCCAGGAGGGAGGGAAAAGGCCTGAGGTGAGCTTCCCATTCTGGGCTGGGGACAGGCCTGGCTTCCTTTCTGTTTCTTGTCATGCAAGGGCAGGTGGTCCTTGACTGGCCCTCCCAGCCCTGTTTGAAGTGGGAGAGGGGGAGCCACACAGAGCTCTGGGAAGTCTGAGTGGCAGCTGCTCAGCCCCAGAGTAACTGGGGAAGGGGAAGTTTTAGGTAGCATTTTGATGGGGGAGGGGCCATGAGGCCCCTGCTTCTGTGCTGTGGTGGGAGCGCCAAGGGCCAGCCGTCACCCTGACTGGTGGGGCCCCCAGAGCCGGGCCTCTCCCACACTGGGATATCAGAGCTGTGTCCGTCTGGAAGGCTCAGGGTCACCTTGAGCTCCAGGCAAATATGTAGCTGAGATGGGGAGGGGGTGGGGGGAAGGCCGGGGGAATCTGTCTAGATTGACAGCACCTGAAGCGCCTTGGGGAGGGAGGTCCGGACCCTGCATCCCACCTCGGCCCTAGGTGTCCCCAGCCAGGGCGGCAGGTGGAACTCCCGCGCCCCAGGCCAGCAGGTCCACTGGAGAGGCTGTGGGGGTCTACGGGAGTACTCCCTGAATTAGACTCTACCCCTCCTAATCGGGGCAGGGACCCAGTGGAGCCGAGGGGCCAGTGGTTTTTCCCAGCTCTGCATCTTTCCAGCACCGCCCCCCACCCCGCCCCTCCCCACCCCCGCCCAAACAAATGTGCCCGTCACTGGCGGGTAGCAGCCCCTCCTCAGCGCGTGTCTCTGGCTTCGCCAGTCCCCGCCCCGCTGTCTAGGTAGCTTGGTACGCGAGGGCCCTTAGGCCGGCGGATCTGCGGGGCACGTGAGCTGCCGTGGAGCGCGGGTGCCCGAGCCCACGGCAGCCGGGGCAGAGGGGCTTCGCCATTCGCCGCGGCGCCCGTCGGGCGGGGCTGCGGGAGGCTCGCGCCCGGGGACGTCCAGGCCGGGGGTGGGTGCCGCGGGGCAGCCGGGCGCGGGGTAATTAACGCGCTGCAAACTCCGGCGGCCAAGCCGGGAAGGGGCGGGATGCCTCCGCCCGCCAGCCCGCCCGCGGCCGCCCGCCGGATTAGCGGCTCTTTGTTCGGGGCCTGTTAACAAGTTCCTGGCTGAGCGCTCGGCTGCCGCCCCGGGAGCGGGCGTCCAGCCTCCGGGCACCGCCGCGCGGCCGCCTCCGCCCCGCCTCCGTGCTGTAGCCCAGCTGCAGCCCCTGCCCCTGCCCGCCCTTC
Source organism: Homo sapiens (assembly GCF_000001405.40). Classification (NCBI taxonomy): domain Eukaryota; kingdom Metazoa; phylum Chordata; class Mammalia; order Primates; family Hominidae; genus Homo; species Homo sapiens. The sequence continues at coordinate 176,818,126 of NC_000005.10, forward strand.
CCGGGCCCCCTGAGAAGTGGGTGGGCGCAGGGCTTCTCAGGCGATCTTGTGCCTGGGGCTTCCGAAGACCCCGGGCTGATCTCGCTGCGAAAGGGAGGGGAACGTCCCCATAACCCGAGCACCTCCTGCAGGCCGGGGCTTCCGATGCACCCGTGTCGCCATTCCCGTTTTACAGATGAGGCCGAGCACCGACTTGCCCCAGGTCCCGGCTGTCCTCTGCAGGCTGGGGCTCCACTCCAGCCCCTGACACCCAAATTCATTCTCCTTCTGCTAAGAGGAGAGACCGTGTGGCGGGAAGAGGAGGAGCCCCTGGGGGCTATAGACTGTTACGTTTTTTATTCTTTATTAACTTGGTGATGGTAGTAATCTGGGCTCCGCCTACATCATCTGATCAAAACCTCAGGACAACCTACAGGTGGGTGAGGTTAGCCCCATGCGTCAGATGAGGACACATATCAGGGGAGGTCACACCGCAGGAAGTGGCAGAGCTGGGACCTTATTGGGCAGCTACTACTCTGCCCGATCTCCCCCACCACACACCACACCCACCTTGTGGGCTCTCCTATGTGGCTATTTACTGCCAGGGCCTCTCTGGTATCCTATGGACTTGATGGGAGAATGTCCAGAGACCCTGATTCTCTGTGTGGCCTCAAGTGAACTCCCTCACAGCCTGAAGCCCATTCCCCATCCCCATGCTGCCTCCTGACCCCACCTAGTGTGCTTCCAGCCTGAGAATGGCTGTCCAGGCCACCAGACGTTGATTATTAACTTCCTCTTGTGGTGTTGGCTTTCCTCACCCGTAGCCCTGAGCTTTAAGCCAAAGGGACTTGCCCGGGCCACACTTCTTCAGGCGACTGGGACTGTTCAAAACCACTTTCTTATAATGAAGGGGACTCTTTCCCAGTAAGCTCCCCAAATGGTTCTGGGCCCTTCCTTCTGGGGCCGCACAGGTTGGGGGAGCCCCTTTCAGTTGGTTAAGACAGGGCTCCCACCTGGCCACACCTGCCCCTTTCCTGGCCAGCCCTCCCCAGCCCTCTCAGCTGCTCCTCATGAGCATTGCCCCAAGCCTGAATCCCAACCCCCCACATCTTTGTTACCTGTCTGTGGGTGGTGGCCCAATTGTCACAGCCTCCTCAGCCCTGGGAGCTCACCACACTGTGCCACAATGCCCCAGCTTGAAGTGACATGGGACACTAAGTGTATCTGTTGCAAATATTAGAACCCAACTCACACTGGCTTAAGGAAAAAAAAGGAAAACGAAGAAGAAGGAGACCATAATGGCACATGGAACTGAACTCAGGGGTGGCTGTGGCTTCAGGCATGGTTGTATCCAGGGAGAACAGTATGGCCAAGATCCTTCCCTCATCTCTGCTCTTGGGGATTCGGCACCACTCTCCAACAGCCTCTTCCCTCTATCCCAAGGTGGCTGCCAGGAGCTTCCGGGACTACATCCTTACAGGTCCAGGCCCAGGCTCCGCACGGGATAGGGGAGAAGAGCACATCTCTGCCCTCCACCACCCAACAAATGTCCAAGTCTTCCATCATTGGTCCACCTCCAGTGCCCTGCCCAGTTGTGTGAGCCAATCACCATAGACAAGGGTAGGATTATGCAGATTAGGTTGGGCCGGAGCCACCAAGGCCATTGTCCTGTTGTTACCCAGGCTATTTGCTACTCCTCTCAGCTTCTTGTCCACCAAGAAGGGTGGGCACAATCATCCTCAGATGTCATCAGCACATTTTGCCAGGTATTAAATAAGCATGCTGAATAGCACCAGGCACAGCCTGTGGCTCAGAAGTAAAGCGGGATCTGGATCAACACTATTTTATTGGCAGCATTAGAAAACACAGCTGGCCAGGCCGGGCGCGGTGGCTCACGCCTATAATCCCAGCACTTTGGGAGGCCGAGGCGGGCGGATCACGAGGTCAGGAGATCGAGACCATCCTGGCTAACACGGTGAAACCTCGTCTCTACTAAAAATACAAAATGTTGGGCCGGGCACGGTGGCTCATGCCTGTAATCCCAGCATTTTGGGAGGCCGAGGCGGGTGGATCACGAGGTCAGGAAATCGAGACCATCCTGGCTAACATGGTGAAACCACGTCTCTACTAAAAATACAAAAAATTAGCCAGGCGTGGTGGCGGGCACCTGTAGTCCCAGCTACTTGGGAGGCTGAGGCAGGAGAATGGCATGAACCTGGGAGGTGGAGCTTGCAGTGAGCCAAGATTGCACCACTGTACTCCAGCCTGGGTGAGAGAGTGAGACTCCGTCTCAAAAAAAAAAGAAAAGAAAGAAAGAAAAAAATAGAAAACAAGGCTGGCCATTCAGCAGGTTTTGCCTGCCCTTCATTGTGCTGTCATCTGCTCATATATCTGCATTTGGCCATCTAAGATATGTTATCCGGTGCCTGGCTGGAATCCAGACACGCCATGTTTCTAGTCCATCCTTAATCTACCGTGGGACAGTAACCCCATAATAAGGGAAGCTGGTCTGGCGTGACTGGTCCATGGGGATCCCAGCAGGCCTCTCACGGTCCCTCCTTCCTTTGGTCATCTGCAGCTGATTGAGAAGCTCTTCTAGAACCGTGCCTGGAGTTTGCATAAGGCTCATTGGGCTGTGGCACCTCCAGTGGATGTTTGTTAGGTTTTGTATCTGGTCCAGCTTTCATCCCAGTCTTAGTGGGGTATTTTGGGGGGCCCTTCATCCCAGCAGCAGGGCCCAGGTGAGCTAGGTAAGTATTTCTCTTGACCTGGTTCTTTTCCAGCTGCAGAGCCTGCTCTTTAAGCTTCTGTTCCTTCTCTCAACAACCCAGTCTTCCGCCAGTGCTTCTTCTTTCCTAAATTTGTGAGAATTGTTTTTTTCTTGCTTGCCTTCAAAGAACCCTAAGTGATACATTCACCAAACCAAACTTGCTTCCTTATGATGACTAGACTACAGCTCCTGCCCCACAGCCACCAGCATGCCACTTTCTCAGATGTCAGCAGCAGGGCTCAGCTCTTCTGGGCTCCTTCCTCCAAGCCCCGCCCCTGCCCTGTGTTTCTCTGGCATTGCCCACAAGCCTCACGCCGCTGCACCTGTGCTCTGCTTCCGAGCGTGGTTCCTCCATCCATGCCTCTCACCTGTGGCTTGTCCTTGGTTTCGGGCCATCTTTCTATGTTGGGCATGTCTGGTCAGAGTCTGAGCCTGCCTACCTGGATATCTTGTAGTTGCCCTGGCACTTTTCTAGGGACCTTCCTTCTCCAGTTCCTTTAGGATCACACAACCAGAGGTCCATTTTTGAGACCCACTTGGTCTCAAGACCTCTTTCCTTTCAGACCCCTGGCTCCACTGGAGGCCCGTCTTTGGTGTGAATTCCTGAAGTCCACCACCCAAATGCCAGGACGCCTTGAGAGTGGTCAGCATTCTGCCTCCTCCCACAACAGTGTGGTGTCCTGTCGAATGGTTAACAGTTGGCTCTTCAGGCAGGCTGGGGAACTAATTTGCCAATTTCCATGGTGTAAATACTCCCACCACAGCCTATATCAAGCTACCAATGTGATGTCAACTGGCTTAAAAATTCTAGAAATTGTAGTGATTGGCTGTCCTGAGCCAGGACGAGCTGGCCGCATACACCACTGCTCCTGACCAAGGTCACTCCCAGCCCCCTCTGAAGTGACCGCAGGCAGGGAGTGGACAAAGGCATCTCAGGCCTTCCCCTGCAGGACCTATTGACTTCCCAGGCTGAGAGGGGCAGCTTACCTCCTGGACACCAGACTCTGGTTAGGCCTTCCCCTGCAGGACTAATTGACTTCCCAGGCTGGAAGGGACAGCTTCCCTCCTGGACTTTAGACTCTGGTAGGTCGAAAGGTAGAGAGTCAGCTAGGACCTGGGAGGACTGTGCTTAAGAGCCAGGGCTCTGATGTGGATTAGAATCCTGAACTGGGTGAACTTGGGCAGGTTATTTAAGCTCTCTGTGCCTCAGTTTGCTCACCTGGAAAATGCAGACAATGAAAGGTTCCTACCTCATAGGGCTGCAAGGATTAAACGAGTCATTCTGTGTGGTGCATGCAGCCTGATGCCGGCTCACAGTAAATGCTCTGCAGGTGCGAGCTGTGTGGCCCGCGGGGCGGGGGATGCTCACTTTTGGCCCCCCTCTGTGACACGCCCTGGAAGTATTTGTGTGGAGGGGTGTGCGGAGCAGGATCTGCGGTTGATAAAACTGGCAGCAGCAGGTATCAAGGGCAGGGCCTGCAGGCCTGGAATCTGAGCAGGATCTTCGATTGATGAAACTAGCAGCAGTGGGCGTCAAGGGCAGGGCCTGCAGGCCTGGAATCTTGGGAAGGTGTTCATTCTTGGATAATGAGCATTCATGAGGGGGCCTGAGAAGGAAGGTTGGCGTGGTGAAGGGTGAGTCACCAGAGTGACTTGGCTGAGTAGGACTCCTGACACCTGAGAGCCCGGGTGTGTCTCCAGGACATGCAGAGCAGAGAGGTGGCAGAGGCCACAGCCACATTTGAGAGCCCAGACAGGCCCAACAAGGACAGCCCACCTGCTGGCCTCAGGCCAACCTGTGACTTCAGAGCTGGTCCCTGGGCACCCCCTGCCTCTGCCCCAGAGTTCTGGGAACCCTGAGGCCAGAACAGGAGAGGGACTCAGGCTGGGACCTTGGCATGTGGTGGGATTTGGCCAGACAATGAGGGGAGGAGAAGGAGTGGACAGGCAATCCCAGTGGCAGCCTGTGTACAGGGCAGCCGGGAGGCGTGCAGCCCCGCTGGAGCAGACGGTGCCTGTGGGGTGCCAGCAAGCGACAGGGCTGTGACCACATCTCTGAGCTGGGGAGTGACAGGCAGTGAGCAGTGTTTAAGGAAGATTAATCTGGCAGCCCATGGAGGATGGATAGGAGCAGGGAGAGGCTGGAGGCAAGGAGACCAGCCGGGAGGCTGCCGTGGTCATCCAGGCAAGAAATGACGAGGCGTCCCTCCCTGATGGCGGGCAGACAGCAGGGATGGAGTAAGAGAGATGGATGTGGGAGACGCTGCAAAGGGGGAGATGTTGCATCTGGATGCTGCATGTGGGGGGGCGAGGGAGGGGGAGGAGGCAAACATGATTCAGAGCTCTGGAGCCTGGGGAAGTGATGTCAGAAACAGAAAATAGATGGGGAGCTGGGTTGGGGGAGAAGCTGAAAGAGCAAGAGGCTCCGCCCAGGGAGCTCCACCCTGCCAGGCTATGTGCAGAGTGTGGACAGGGCGCCTGGGTCACAAGCAACAGAAACTGGCTCTGGTCACGTGAAGCCAAGGGAGCGGAACAGCGTTTCCGGGTCAGGCAGGCACTGGGGGCGAAGGGCAGACTTAAAGCCAGCCGTGGCCCAGGAGAGACGTCCAACAGGTCCTGGTGGTGCTGGGGCCATCCGGTTTCCTTTAGGGCACTGAAAGCCGTCCGGGAAAGGTGGATTTACTTGGTTCTGTGAAGCCCTACGGGGTAGGTCGGTATCAGCAGGGAGAGACACAGGGAGGCTGAGGGAGACCCTCCCAGCAAGCAGAGGCTCGGAGGTCTGGGCACGATGAGAGCCTCCACAGGGGGGCTCTATGGGACAGTCAGGGAGACCCTGGACAGGGGCAGGTGGCCTCGGTGAGTCTCGGTGGGAAAAGGGAAAGGACGGCTGGATACTGACTTGGACTCCTCTCAGCTCCACCCTATTTGGTCTTGAGAAGTTTCTTACCCTTTGAGAACTGGGCTTTCTGGACGGATGGCTCCATCTCGAGGGGGTTGGTAGTTTCTCTGCCGCCCATTGTTTTAACTGCTGAAATACTTTCTCAGGGCACAGCACCTCCACCCTCCTTTGGCGACCTCCCGCCATGGGGCCCTGGTGGGACTGTCAGTTATGAGAACCCAGCCTCTCCCTGGAGAAAGCACCTGTCCCAGCTGGCGAATGGTCCCGGAGATCCTGGGCACATGATTGGGCCAGGCTGGCCACATGGCCTGGGTTGAGCCAGTCAGGATCCTTGCCAGGGCTTCTCCCGCCTGGAGGCGGAGGTGCGGCCCCGATGCCTCCCGGGTTGGAGGCAGCAATGATGCAGGTTCCGACACTGGCCCAGGACTATTTCCCCCATGTGTGGAAAGCGGCCGTGGGGCTGAGGCGGGTGAGGCCAGCGCACAGGGAGATCAGGGACAAGCGGAGGGAGGAGGCTGTCCCAGTGGCCCCGAGGCCCTGAGGCTCTGGTCCCTGCAGCTTTTCTCAGTCCTGTGAGCTGCTGTTAACAGCCTTCCTGGCCCTAGATCCACAAACTTCCCGCTTTAACGCCCGTGTGAGTTGGGTTTCTGTGTCCTGCACCTGAAAGGGGCCTGACCGAGGATCTTAGGAGAAAGATGATGATGTGAGCAAAGCGCCCACCCAGAGGTAGCAAGGTGGCAGCAGGCAGGGCATTTAGCCCCCACGCGGCAGATAGAACATTCTAAAAAAAAAAGAGAGAAAGAGAGAGAATTCACATAAAAATCCAAATGTCAGGCTTCTCTTGAAAAAGCAAAAGATCTGGGCTGGGCCCAGCAAGCCCATTTTCCTGGGTGGCTGGGGCTGGAACCTGGATGCCACTTTGGCAGATGAACACCCCCTACTGCTAGGTGCCTCCATGCCCATGCACCCCCAGTGCCTGTGCACTCCCTGCCCTGTGCACCCCCACCACCTGTGTGCCCCCTGCTCTGTGTACCCCCTACCTTGTGTACTCTCTGTCCCAGGCACTCTCACCACTCCGTATCCCCCACCCCATGCACCCCCAGTGCCTGCGCACTGCCCTCTCTTTGCCACTCACCCCCGCTCCCGTGCACACCAAGGCTGCGTCTCCCCACCCTGTGCACAGTGCTTGGTGGGTGTCAGGTACTGAGGCCATGGGCAGGGCCATCCCTCTCCTTCCCTCCCTCCCAGCTCTTGGAGTCTGCATTTGGGGCCTTAGATTTCGCCTGTTCAGTTTGAAGTGGTGGAGGATAGTCAGGTGGAAACATCTAAAAGATAATTGGAAACTGGGAGTGGCACTTTCAGATGCAATAAGGGTGGGAAGTGGAGTTGAGAGACCCTTTCATAAGGAGCTGATCACCGACATGCATGAGCTCGAATCCCATTCAAAGAGGATGATTAGGGAATGGCCATGGCTGGGGTGGAAAGGAGGATTCAGGGGACAATTTTGAGGAAGCCAAAAGGGGGCCCGGGAGAGAGCAGTAGGGGCCCAGGAGTGTGTGTAAGGTTTTGAGCAGGAGGGGAGGCAGCCTTGAGGAAGGCTTTGGCGAAGGACCCGCCGATGAGGCCTGGAGGACACGCTGGGAGGAGGCAGGGAGAGCGGCCGGAGGACGCTGTGCTCAGAAGCAGCAGGAGTGAACTGGGACAGTGTGAACAGTGTAGACAGACAGGACACAGAGGCCATTTGGAATCTGCAGAGCATGGAAGGATACCAGGTAGAAAAGGCACAGGATGCAGTGAAGGTTTCAGGGAGAAACTTGGGAAAGGGGGGCGAGGGCAGGACAAGCATACTTGCTGAGCACTGGCGATGTACTTGCACGAAAGCTCTCGATGGGTAGCTCAGAGGTGAGTGACGTGCCCACATCCCACAGCTACCATGGCAGAGCTAGGTGCCAGCCCCAGCTCCATGGCAGCAAAATGGGCAGAAGGTCCAGAGCCTCATAAAGCTTTTAAGAGAAGCAGAGGGGATGGGCTGAGGGACAAAGCTAGGTGACAATGGCACCTGAGCCATTAAATAAACATTTATTGAGCACCTGCTGGCGCCAGGCCCGGCGTCAGGTGCCACAGATGAGCATGAGGGCCGTGTGACCATGAGGGAGCTGGAAGCAGGGGCATGCTGGGTAGCCAGTGAGACAGGACAGTCCTGGAAGAGGTGACACTTGAACTGAGACCTGAATGACAGAAGGAGCAGGCTGCGGGTGCAGCAAAGGGCCTACTCTGGTCTGGTCACAGGGAATGTGGAGCTGGGTGAGGAGAGGTGTGATGACTTGTGTCTGTGTTCATTTATACATGCATAGAAGCCACCTCTGCTTCCAGAGACGCACAGCAGGAGGGGCTGAGGGCACATTTGCTAGGGTTAGCTGGTCGGAGGGGGCCTGGCTCCCAGACCTGCTCTGCTGCTACAGCACAAGCCCAGGCCAGATACACTCTTCTGCCCCATCTATGAAATGGGAAGAATGACTGGGCCTGGGCTATCATGGAGCGGATCCTGAGGCCTGGGACAGGGGCAAGGGTAGAAGCCATGGGAGGGCGCAGGGAGCAGGCCAGGCAGGCTACTTCCACCCTTCGCAGGCCTCAGCAACCCCAGGATCAAACAGTAACTGGTAAAATGAGCTTAGTCCAACCGATGAAGTTGGACTTTGATGCATATATATTTTTTCTTTCCATTTTTTTAATTCTTCTTTGCCATTTTTTAATCAAGGTGAAATTCACGTAACATAAAATTAACCGTTTTAAGTGCACAATTCATTGGCATTGAGTACATTCACAATGTTATGCGACCATCACTTCTATCTAGTTTCCAAACTTTTTTTTTTTTTTTTTTTTTTTTGAGACAGTCTTGCTCTGTTGCCCAGGCTGGAGTGCAGTGGCACGATCTCGGCTCTCTGCAAGCTCCATCTCCCGGGTTCACGCCATTCTCCTGCCTCAGCCTCCCGAGTAGCTGGGACTACAGGCGCCCGCCACCATGCCCAGCTATTTTTTGTATTTTTGGTAGAGACGGGATTTCACTGTGTTTGCCAGGATGGTCTCTATCTCCTGACCTCGTGATCTGCCCGTCTCGGCCTCCCAAAGTGCTGGGAATACAGGCGTGAGCCACCGCGCCCGGCCCAAACATTTTCATCAGAACAAAGGAGACCCCATTAAGCAGTCACTCCCCATTCTCCCCTTGCCCCAGCCCCTGGCAAACAGCAACTTGCTTTCTGTCTCTACGGACTTGTCTATTATGATATTTCATGTAAATGGAATCATGTAATTTGTGGTCCTCTGTGCCTGGCCTCTTTCGCTTAGCATAATGTGCTCCAGGTTCATCCGTGTTGTAGCATGAAAGCATGCATCACTGCTTCATTCCTTTTTTTTTTTTTTTTTTTTTGAGACAGAGCCTTACTCTGTCGCCCAGGCTGGAGTGCAGTGGCACAATATTGGCTCACTGCAACCTCCGCCTCCCAGGTTCAAGCGATTCTCCTGCCTCAGCCTCCCGAGTAGCTGGGATTACAGGCATGCACCACCACGCCCAGCCAATTTTTGTATTTTTAGTAGGGACGGGGTTTCACCATGTTGGCCAGGCTGATCTCAAACTCTTGACCTCAAATAATCCACCCACCTCGGCCTCCCAAAGTGCTGGGATTACAGGTGTGAGCCACCATGCCCAGCCTTCATTCCTTTTTGTGGTTAAATAATATTTCATTGTATGGATGGACCACATTTGGTTTATCCATTCACCCATTGGTAGACATTTGGGTCGTTTCTACCTTTTGGCGACTGAATAAGCTGTTTTGAACATTTGGGTACAAGTATCTGTTTAAAGACCTGTTTTCAGTTCTGTTGGGCATACACCTAGGAGTGGAATTGCTGGGTCATACGGTAACTATGTTGAACTTCCTGAGGAACTGCCAAACTATTTTCCTTAACAACTGCACCATTTTACATTCTCACTAGCAATAACGAGGGTTCCAGTTTCTCCATGTCCTGATTCTTATATTTGAAGTGTTAAATTCTTGCAAACATTTTTCTCATGTCTTGGTGCTCCTGCTTTGCTGGTGCCTGAATCTGTGCGTGGCCACCAGGTTAGCCTGGTGTAGGTCTCGTGGTTCAAGATTGGCAACAGAGGACCGGAGAGGAGACCAAGCAGCTGGGAGCCCCCAGAGGTGCAGCTAGCTGTAGGGTCAGAGCGGGTCTGGGCCTCTCTCAGCCCTCTCGGACCCTGTGGACCCTGTTTCCCTCTGCAAGCCCCCTTTTGTCCTCCTTCCCCCTCCTCCACACCCACCCCCAGCCAGGAGCTGCCCTCTCTGCCCCTCTGTGCTGCCGTTTTGTGTGTGTGTCTTGTCACCAGGATAAATGCGGCTACAAACAATGCGGCAGGCTGGGTGCTAATTTGTCAGACGCAGTGCGCGGCTGTGATTCCGAATACATTAACATTTTCACATGAAATCATTTCAATTTTTAGTGATTAAGAGGTATTTGTTTTAAAGCATCAGGGTGATTTGCTGCAGACCTGGGGGGCAGTGGGGGTGAGGGAGCCCCGAGTGTGATGTCACTCATGGCATCAGTGTGGGGAGTCACCACTCCACACCCACCTGTGCCCACCCTGCGCTTCCTGGGCATGGGGCTGGAGGTGGCAGGACCAGGGAGTAGGAATCAGGGGACCCAAGAGTCCCTTGAGGGCACGGAGGCCCAGAAGCCTCAGCCCCCCCATCTTCCCCTGGCTTCCCTGGGTTGTTTGGCCTCACTCAAATATCGCCTCCTCAGCGAGGTTCCCCCTGGGCCTCCAACCTCAAGTAGCAGCCTGTCACTCTCTGCTTTAGCTTCTTCATGGCGTTTATCCACATTGGAGATGACTTTCTTGACTTACTTACTTGTTTATGTTCTGTACCACCCCCAGTTAAAACACACGCTTCTTGAGGGCAGGGACTATGGCCTGCTCATGCTCACTGCTCGTTCATGGATGGATGGATGGGTGATTGGATGGCTGGGTGGATGGGTGGATGGGTGGATGGGTGGAGGTATGAAAGATGGATGGGGGCTGGGCGCGGTGGCTCATGCCTGTAATTCCAGCACTTTGGGAGGCCGAGGTGGGCGGACCACAAGGTCAAGAGTTCGAGACCAGCCTGACCAACATGGTAAAACCCCATCTCTACTAAAAATACAAAAATTAGACAGGTGTGGTGGTGCGCCTGTAATTCCAGCCACTCAGGAGGCTGAGGCAGGAGAATCAATTGAACTGAACCTGGGAGGCTGACATTGCAGTGAGCGGAGATCGCGCTGCTGCACTCCAGCCTGGGCAACAGAGCGAGACTCCATCTCAAAAAAAAAAAAAAAAAGAAAGAAAGATGGATGGATGGATGGATGGATGGATGGATGGATGGATGGATGGATGGTTGGATGGATGGGTGGATGTATGAAAGATGGATGGATGGATGGATGGGTGGATGGATGGGTGGCTGGATGGATGGATGGATAAAGTGGGTGGATGGGTGGATGGATGAATGGATGTATGAAATATGGATGGATGGATGGATGGATGGATGGATGGATGGATGGATAAAGTGGGTGGATGGGTGGATGGATGGGTGGATGTATGAAAGATGAATGGATGGATGGATGGATGGATGGATGGATAAAGTGGGTGGATGGTTGGGTGGGTGGGTGGATGGTTGGGTGGGTGGATGGATGGATAAAGTGGGTGGATGGGTGGATGGATGGGTGGTTGGATGGATGGGTGGACGTATGAAAGATGGATGGATGGATGGATGGATAAAGTAGGTGGATGGATGGGTGGGTGGATGGGTGGGAGGTGGATGGATGGGTAGATAGACAAGTAGATATATGGATGGATGGATCAATGGGAGGGAAGGTGGATGATTGTTCACGGGGCACAGAAGACTCCCTTGCCATATTGGGCATCCTATCATCCCTGAATCAGTCCCTCAAGTCCCCAGGCAGGCCACCTTGGGTGTGCCAGGCTTCTCTACACCTGGGAAGTACAAGTTCATTACCACGGGGCTGGTTCATTACCACAGGCCTCCAACCCTCTCACTTCCACATCACTGCTCCTTTTTTTTTTTGAGATGGAATCTTGTTCTGTCTCCCACACTGGAGTACAGTGGCGTGATCTCGGCTCACTGCAACCTCCACCTCTCTGGTTCAAGCAATTCTCCCACCTTGGCCTCCCGAGTAGCTGGGATTAAAGGGGTGTGCCACCATGCCCAGCTAATTTTTGTATTTTTAATAGAGATGGGGTTTTGCCATGTTGGACAGGCTAGTCACAAAACTTTTACTCTTTAAAGCCTGTCCCTGTCACCTTCCTCTCTGGGTGCCATGAGAACCGCTCTAAGGGGCTCCCTAGGCCTTCAGACAGACCACCTCCGCCAGGTCTCAGCTGTTGCCAGTCGTCTTGGCTGGGGACCCTCTACTCCCTTCCCAGGAGCTCCCAAGCAGGGTGGCCCTCTCCAGAGCAGCTCACAGTGCGCTAAAGCCTGGGCTGGAGGATGTGCCTCCATGGGGCATGGGTGCGGTGTGCGCCTGCTTGTATGCTGGCATGTGTGTGTGTGTTGTGCGTGTGTGTGCTGGTGTGTGTGTGCCAGTGCGTGTGTGTGCTGCTGTGTGCTGGCATGTGTGTGTGTGTGTTGTGCGTGTGTGTGTGCTGGTGTGTGTGTGCCGGCGTATGTGTGTGCTGCTGTGTGCTGGCATGTGTGTGTGTGGGTGTTGGTGTGTGTGCATGTGCATGTGTCCTGGTGTGTGTGTGTGTGTGTGCGCGTGCTGGTGTGTGCATGCTGGTGTGTGTGTGCGCTGGCGTGTGTGTGTGTGCGCTGGCGTGTGCATTTGTGTGTGTGTGCTGGTGTGTGTGGGAGTGTGTGCTGGCATGTGTGTGCACTGGCGCGTGTGTGTGCTGGCATGTATGTGTGGGTGTGCTGGTGTGTGTGCGCTGGCGTGTGTGTAGGTGTGTGTGTACTGGCGTGTGTGTGCTGGCATGTGTGTGTGCGTGTGTGTGCGCTGGCATGTATGTGCTGGCATGTGTGTGTGCTGGCGTGTGTGTGTGCGCTGGTGTGTGTGTGGGTGTATGTGCTGGCGTGTGTGTATGTGCCGGCGTGTGTGTGGGTGTGTGTGTGCTGGCCTGTGTGTATGTGCCGGCGTGTGTGTGTGCTGGTGTGTGTGTGTGTGAGATGGGAGGTGATCAGGCCTTTGCCCAGTTCCTGCAGCCTCGCTCTGTGGTGGCCACACAGAAGCCCGTTCCTCATCCTTCTGTTGCCCCACCCCCCACCTCCGTGCCTCGGGTCAAACCCCTCCCTCACCTACCCCAGTGAAAGGAAAATAACTAGAAGCTTTTATCGTTCTGCAGAAGCAACATCAGAAAACAATTATTGTTTTAATTACCTGCTGTCGCCATACAAGACAGGGAGGTTGTAAAGTGTGATAAAATCTTTCATGTTAATGGACTGCCAGCCCGGGCCAGGGCTCGATTTATGGGGCTGCAGCTGGTAACTCCAGGCAGCTGTATGGAACCCCCAGGGCCCCTCTCCCTGTCCCTGGGGCCAGGGCTCCAATGCCAGGGACCTGGCACCCCTTTTGTTCATCACATTTTACCCAACACAGCGGGGATACTGGCCTTCTCTGCGCAGGAATGCTCAAGGCCAGCACGCATCCAGGTGTGACCTGGGGGCTCCATTCCTTAGGAAGGCAAGCCTTGGGCTGGCCCCTCTTTCTGCCCCATGGAAGGGGCCTAGCCGTGGGCTGGGCTGGTTTTCCCTGACAGGCCCTCTCGCCACCACTCGGCTCTGCTGTGCACCACCTTGGACCCTCCTGCAGTGCCCAGAGCGGGGCTTCCCCATAAGCACAGTGACCTCACACCTGTCTCCTCGTCTCCTGCCCACCTCCACCTCCCAGAGCTGACCCCTGGCCGCTGCTTCCTGACTGAAGTCCTCATCTGTCTGCTCTCAACCCACCCATCCCCACTGCTGTACCCACCATCTTCCCAAAGCCCACTCAAGCTGGTCCCTCCTCAGGTACCAACCTTATTTTCTCCTAAGCACTTTCACTTTCACACACTTTCTCTCTCTCTTTTTTTTTTTTTTTTTTTTTTTTTTTTTGAGACAGAGTCTCACTCTGTTGCCCAGGCTGGAGTGCTGTGGTGCAATCTCGGCTCTCTGCAACCTCCACCTACCTGGCTCAAGTGATTCTCATGCCTCATCCTCCCGAGTAGCTGGGACTACAGGTGCCTGCAACCACGCCTGGCTAATTTTTGTATTTTTATTAGAGACGGGGTTTCACCATGTCGGCCAGGCTGGTCTCGAACTCCTGACTTCAGGTGATCCACCCAGCTCAGCCTCCCAAAGTGCTGGGATTGCAGGCGTGCGCCACCATGCCTGGCCTCACACTTTCTCACTGAAGCCTCAATGCAGAGTTTGGAGGAGGTGCCGTTATTATGCTCCCGTTTTAGAGATGCAGTAAATGAGCTGTGGAGAAGTCAGGTGTTTGGCTGGCAGTCTGATTTCACAGGGCTGGAGTGAGGACTTAATGGGGTGACAGTTGTGAAATGCTTAGGACAATGGCAGGAGCAAAGTCCACGCCTGATCCAAGCTAGCTCTCGTAGTAATTCTTTTTGCTTCTATTGCTGTTCACCCTGGAGCAAGTCACTTATCTGCTTGAATCATGCCTCACTTTCCACATCTGAAGGATGGGGACAGCAGTCACCTAGCCTCTAGGATGAGAGGATCAGAGAAGGCCCTGTGTGGTGTGTGGTGAGAACACAGGACCCCTCAGCTGCCGCTGCTGCTATGACCATGTAATGGTGGAGGAAGCTCAGGTTGGGAAGCTAAGTTGGGTCCACCTTATACAAGGCCCTTCATGGCACACCAAGGGGTGTTGAGCCATTCTAGGGATGGTAGGGAGCTGCTGAAGATTTTCAATCAGGAAAGCAGTGGACTCAGATCTGAGTTTTAGAAGGATGGCAGTGGCAAGCTGAAGCTGGTTGGGCAAGAGGGAGCCGTTGGTACTCGAGTGATCTCCAAATGAGGACTCCAGATGATCTCCAGATGAGTCCTCCAAATGAGGACTGACGAGGCCATGACAGGCAGAGGTGGAGGCAGGGACAGAACTGGATGGCCAGGGCTTGGTCAGCCCTTGGGCAGAGGAGGAACGAAAGGAGGCTCATGCCTTCTTAAATCCTCCATTCCCTCCCCAGTGCCACACACAGGACTGGCACGTGTGGTAGCCACTCTCAAACCCAGGATGCAGGTAGCTGGCCAAGGTCAGGAAACAGCAAGACCCTCTCAGGCCGAGGCCAAGTTGGAGTTGAGAGGAACCCAACTCAGAATCTTTTTTTCCTTCCAACTTTTACTTTAGGTTCAAGGTGGTGCGTGTGCAGGATTGTTACATGGGTGCATTGTGTGTGCTGGGGTTTGGCATACAAGTGATTTAGTCGCCTAGGTAGTGAGGACAGTGCCTGATGGGTAGTTTTTCCGTCCTCACCCTCCTCCCACCCTCCACCCTCAAGTAAGCCCTGTGTCTGTTGTTTCCCTCTGTGTGTCCATGTGTACTCAATATTTAGCTCCCACTTAAGTGAGAACATGGTTTTCTCTTCCGGCATTAATTCACTTAGGATAATGGCCTCCGGCTGCATCCATGTGGAGCAAAGGACATGATTTCATTCTTTTTTATGGCTGTTTAGTATTCCATGGTATATATGTACCACATGTTCTTTATCCAGTCCACGCCAGCCCACAATCTTTAGGCCATGGCCTGGGACTCAGGTGGGGCCTCCCTAGGCACCTGCAGGACCCCAGCTTCCTCTCCCTGACAGGTTCAAGCATAGCCCATGAGTCTCTGCCCTTTGTGGCTGCACTCATTAGCTCAGTCACACAGCCTCTTTTTTTATCTTTTTTCTTTCTTTTTTTTTTTTTTGAGACGGAGTCTTGCTCTGTCGCCAGGCTGGAGTGCAGTGGTGCGGTCTCCGCTCACTGCAAGCTCCACCTCCTGGGTTCGCGCCATTTTCCTGCCTCAGCCTCCCGAGTAGCTGGGACTACAGGCGCCCACCACTACGCCCAGCTCATTTTTGTATTAGTAGAGACGGGGTTTCACCATGTTAGCCAGGATGATCTCAAACTCCTGACTTCATGATCTGCCCGCCTCGGCCTCCCAAAGTGCTGGGATTACAGGTGTGAGCCACCGCACCCGGCCCAGTCACACAGCCTCTTATTCTCTCATTCATCAACTTAGGTCTTCAGTAAATGTTTGTGGAGTGCCGCATCTGTGCTGGGCTCTAAGCTGGCACTGGGGAGGTGGAGCACCGCGGAGCTGTGTGTGTGACCTCCAGGAGCTGATACTCCAGTGGAGGGGATGCAGTGCACCAGTGAACCAATGAAGAAATTAAATAATTACACACTGCCGGGAGTATGGAAGAGAACAAAGGAGCTGAGACAGGGCCCCCTGCCCGTCCCTGTCCTGTCTGCACAGGAGAAGTGGCTCCCAGTTCCCCAGCCCTACCGAGATGCATGGTTGGCATTAGCCGCCCAGCTGGACCGATCTGTCTCCCTGTCTTCCCGGGATTACTTCCCCCATTTTGGCCATCACTTCTGAACTCTAATTTATTCCCCAGGGCCCAGGAGGGGCCATTCATTTAAAGAGTTTTCTATGGAGCATTCTCCTGTGAGGACCCTAAGGGGAAGAAAAATGCCAGGAAAGGACGAAAAAGAGAATAAGAGGGATCTGGTTTCAGAACTCCCAGGCAGCAGGACAGATGTGGAAGGAGCAGGGCTCTGTTTGCCGAGAGACATATTTACCTAGTGGCACAAGTGCCCTCCTACCTCCCTCTACTCTCTGCAGGTTCCCACGTCCCGTCTTCTCTCTCTCTCTCTCTCTCTCTCTCTCTCTCTCTCTCTGTCTCTCTGTCTCTCTCTCCCTCCTCTCCCTCTCCCTCTCCCTCTCTCTCTCCCTTTCCCTGGGTCGCTGCAGGAGTCTGAGCCTGCCCCACCTCCCAGGGAGAAGCTGTCTCCTGGTGCTAGGAGATGGTGTCCCTGATTACAACTCAATCTGCCACTGTCCCTCTCCCTTCCCTCCCAGTTCTTAGAGGAGCAACGTGTGCACTGTCGGCTCCTGCAGGGACCAGCCTCACTCTTCTTATCCCCATAGCTGGGCCAGAGGAGCTGGCAGGCTGGGCCCATCCTGTGCCAGGTGGCTGTGGGAGACACATGCCTGAGTGCAGCCACAAGCTCCATGAAAGCATTCAGAAACTCCTGGCACTGTGGGCAACCCCTGCACTCTGCAGGCAGCGAGGCCAGGGAGAGAGGTGGCCTCAGGGTGGCTTCTTAAAGTGCCATGTGTTCTCACATCCCATCAGCCTGGGAATGGGGCCTCCGGCCAGGGGCTGGCTTGTACACCTGGAGGTGAACATTGGCACTGGTGTGACTGAGGAGATATATGCCCATGGGTGAAGGTGACCTTCCTGCAGGCTCGGAAAGCAGGCCCTGGGGGCTCAGGGCCACCTGCCAGGCCTGCCTCTGTCTAAGTCTGAACAGAGGCCGCTTGCCCAGTCCAGTGTGTGTGTCTCCCAGGAAGGTTCCCAGAGGGGGCCTGCCTGTGGCTGGGAGAAATCCCCATCCCGGATTCTGTAACCATCCTGTCCAAATTTCAGGAAATTCCCTGATTCCTTCCCAACAGTTCCAGATGCTCCAGAGCCTCCGACTCATCGCTCCCTGTGCTGGCATTTTCCTGCCTGGCTCCGGCCCCTTCCCGCCTGTCAAACACATGAAACCAATGGGCCCTTCAAAGGGTAGCTCCAAATCCCTCCCCAGCGTGCAGGTGTGCCAGTGAGGAAGAAGTGTGGGCGTGGGTGTGAACTCTTGTGCACCTGAGCATGAGTGTAGAGGTACCAGCATCTGTGCAAATGGATGCCTTTGATAAAGGATGTGTGTGTGTGTGTGTGTGTGTGTGTGTGTGTCCTGAAATGATGTGCACATCCTAAGTATTCTGGGGTGTAGGTCTCCTGTCTAAGTGTCTTAACAGATTCATCTGGAATTTGAAGCAACTGTTTTCTCATTGATAAGGAGCTGACAAAGAAATGAAACAAAAGGCCTGGATGAATAAACAGTCTTCTGGATAGAGAAGTGGAAGATGTGAGCTCAGGCAAGAATTGGAGCTAATCTTTTTTAACATTTAAATAAAAGATCTGGAAGAGGATGTGTATAGTGAAATCACCAAGTTTGCAGTTAAATCGAAACTCTCCTGGGTGGTAGTAAAATGCCAGACTGGTGAGGGATGAGCTTTAGGAAGATCTTATCTAGAAAGGCAGTGAGCTGGACAGAGAATGGCCAGCAGGCTTTAGTCTGGGGAGAATGATATGGACGAAGTCTGGGGGAAGGCAGCTTTCCTAAGGCAGGGCCCAGGAGGGCAACAGCAGGCTGGACATGATGCGAAGGGGAGATTGCAGCAAGCCATAGATGTTCTTCTCCCAACAGGTGAGTGAGGGATGCCAGTACCCAACCATCCAGCATGCTTGTGGTCACGCCTCCTCAGGGGAGCCCAGCCCGAGATGGGGCAGAACTGGATTGTATTACAGACTTATATGATCTGCATAATTCATTTCCCTCAATTTGCACATCTGTGAAATGGAAGTAGCGATCCCTGGGGGCCTGCTCCACAGGGGAGCGACAGCAGCTGAGATCTCACAGAGACGACAGTGTGTAGGCACCTGTAAAGTTCAGTGCCACCGTGAGTGGTTATGGAAAGAGTTGCGATGAGAAGGGAGCTGCCATAGAAAATCAGACTGGCCCACCTGGGACAGCCTCAATCAGAGAGAGGCCAAGAGGGAGTGTGGCAGAGATCTAGGAAATCAGAAAGGGCTCGGAGAAGGGAGCTTGGGCTCCTTCACTATGCCCCAGCCTGACAGAGCGAACCGCTCCCCCAGCCCCCAGCAAAGCTCAGGAGAGGTATGTTTAAAACCAATCACAGGAAATCCTGCTGCACTCAGCAGGGAATAAACTTTGAAAATCATTTCCCCTAGAGGTGATACAGGCTGGAAATATAAATTGCTTCCAGAAAGGTTTAGATAAGTTCATGGATGGCAGAGCCAAACTAGTTCTTGGGCAAAATTAGAACGTTAGGAGGCATCTTCCTCTCTGATGTCAGAGGAAGTCCCTGCCAGAGCCAGCGCACAGGCCAGACGGAACAACCTGATACCCCGTCTCTGTGTATGTGTGAGTCTGCATTTAGGAACAACTTGTCCCTGTCTGACGAGGGTGCCTTCCCTCTCACCAGACTCACTGTGCCGTGAAATTGCCTTTCCTCCCTCCCCAGTCCCTCACCCCCATTGCTGCTCCCATAGCCCCTTTAAACTCCATGCTGTGGAGTTCCCCAGCCCCACTCCCATACCTCACTCTCACAGTGCCAACTTCTGTCTCCAGCTTGCCCCTGCCATCTCATCTGCCATCACAGAGCAGCCACCCCTCCCTCTGTGTACTGTCTTCTAGCACAGGCACCTTGCCTGGCAGTGCCCATGAGCCGGTGAGGACAGGAGCCTCTTGCCAGGCCCTCCAGTGAATGCTGTTGGCTTGCAGCCTCTCTCTCCGGCTGACTTCCCAGAGCCCTACTCTGCCTGGCTGCTTCTCCCAGGGTCCCTAGCAGAGGCCGGCTGAATAGGAGCTGACGTATGAGCCCTTCAGGGACCCACACCCTGGAGAACTTGGGTACCCGAGGCCAGATGGATATCCACACCAGGGACAGGGTCACCATCAGGAAATAGGCACGCTTGGGTGTGTGCCAGGTTATCTGATGCGTGCAGAAGGTCTTCAGGGAATGGGATTAGCAAGGGAGGCAAGGTTATGGAGTATGCTTTCCCGCCGCTGTTCCTAAGATGCCTTGGGCCCTTTCCAAGCTGCCATGGATGGGCTGTGTAGCTAGCTGGGAACTCTGTTTTAGCACCACAGATAGCGGTCCTGGACATGGCACACTTTCAGCACCGTGGACAGCCCCAGGCGCTCCACAGATAGCGGTCCTGGACGTGGCACGCTTTCAGCACCGTGGACAGCCCCAGGCGCTCCACAGAGGCTGTCCCTCTGCGGACTCGGCTTCCTAACCTCCGGACTCTGCTTCCTAACCCCACCACCACCTCTAGAGACCTCTAGAGAATTCATTTATCCATCCGCAGAAATTAATTGAGCACATATACATCCAGTCACTGTTGTGCAAGAGTACACTACTGAACGGAATAGTCAAAAACTTGCCCTTTGGAGCCTCCATTCTTTGTGGTGGGGACTCCCACCCCATAGGCTTCCGTTGAAATTCCCGGAACTCGTTCCAGGCAAAGTGGCCCTGCAGGTCATGAAGTGTGAACAATTTATTATTTCTTGCAAACCTGATTCTACTGCTTAACTCTGGGGGGAAGGAGCTGGAGAGGTGGGAAGTAGGGATTGGTGAGGCCTAATTCAGATGGTATTTTAGGATTTTAGGAAGCCACTCCCCTGCTAAAAAGCCTGTGATGGTTCCCCAATGCCTATAGAAATAAATAG
Source organism: Homo sapiens (assembly GCF_000001405.40). Classification (NCBI taxonomy): domain Eukaryota; kingdom Metazoa; phylum Chordata; class Mammalia; order Primates; family Hominidae; genus Homo; species Homo sapiens. The sequence goes on from NC_000005.10 coordinate 176,838,329, forward strand.
TAGTTCCCCAACCTGTCATTCAAGTCCCATGGTAAAATGTTCCTGATCTGTCTTCCCAGTCTTGTCTTCTTACCTCTCCTCATGTTTCCTTCACTCCAGCCAAACTGGATTCTCAGTTAACAATCTTTTGGTTGCAGTATGAAAGAAAACTCGACTCACACAGACTTAAACACATTTACTAAGTGGATGTTATTGACTTGCAACTGAAAATCCCAAAGGTACAGCTGACTTCAGGCAAAGCCTGATGCGCTGGCTCAGACAACAGCACTCTGGAGCTACCCTGCTCGCTGTTCTGCTCTGTCTTCCCTGGTGTTGGCCATATCCTCGGCTTCCCCAGGGCATCCCCTAACATCTCTACACTCTCCCTGTCTTGGTACTGGGATGACTGCAGCAGCACAGCCCTCACATCCTCACCCCACACCTTCCAGGGGAAAGATGCCTCCTCTCTTGAAAAGCCCTGGGGAATGTCTCCTGGGACCTCAGTGGCTGGCCCACATGCCCATCTCAAACCAATCACCAGAGCCAGGGCAGGAGATAGCATTGGTTTAAGCCAATCAGGGTCCATCCCTGAAGCTGGTAGGGGTCATTTCCACTCAAACCACATAGCTTACTATGGAACAAGAGTGGATCTCCAAAGAAAATGGGGCTGTTATTTTGGGAAAAGAGGAGCTGGAGCTGGGAAAGCAGTCAGCAGGTGTCCAGTCATGGAGTGTGTTCTCCTGCCTCTGTGCGTTTGCACCTGCAGGTCTCTGCCTGACCTGCCCTCTCCTATCATCCCAGCTACTGATGCCCTGTGCCACCTTCCAGGCCCCTCTCAAAGGCGACTGCCTCCCTTACCCCACTCCTGTCACTTCCATCATGTCCACCTTCTCTGACCCCTCACAGCACCTAGCACATGCTCTTTGTCCTGAGGGGATACTGAAGGGGATAAGTGGATTAGCTGGGAGCAGGTAGGGGGGCCAAGGCCACTCAGCCATGAGCACATCGGAAGAAGATGAACTGAAAGCCAGGAAACCTAGAGCTCTGTGGCAGCAAGGTCCCTGATCCGCAGGCAGTGAGGAGAGTGGACATGCCTCCCAGGGCCCATGTGCAGGAGCCTGGTGATGGATGGCTGCTGTCACGTTGGCTTCGTGGGGTGGGATATCAGCATCGTTGAGCCCAGGCAGGCCAGGAGGGCCGCTGTCTGGACAGTCTCAGGCTGTCCCTGGTGCCCAGGTCACATGGCCTAGGCTGTCTCCTGCCCTCACTCCTAGTAAAGGGTTGGACTTCCCTGGTTTGTGGGTAAGATCCTTGCCCCTGAAACTGCCCTGGCAGGGCCCGTGGCAGGAAGGCTGAGGATGTGCAGGGAGTGGGTGATCTGGCCTGAGTGGAGGCGCTCTGGGGAGGGCCTGGGGGTCCTGGGACAGCAGATACCGCAAGCGAAGACAGAAGCAAGCAGCACCTGGACTCCTTTCCCACTGTGGCTTCACGGCCACTTCCTTTTTTTTTTTTTTTTTTTTTTTTTTCTTGACAGAGTCTCACTCTGTCGCCCAGGCTGGAATGCAGTGGTAAGATCTCAGCTCACTGCAGCCTCCACCTCCTGGGTTCAGGCAATTCTGCTGCCTCAGCCTTGCTTGTGGTCCAGGCTTGTGGTCTACTGCCTCAGCCTCCTGAGTAGCTGGGACTACAGGTGCGCACGCCACCACGCCCTGCTAATTTTTGTATTTTTAGTAGAGATGGAATTTCACCATGTTGGCCAGGCTAGTCTTGAACTCCTGACCTCAAGCAGTCAGCGCACCTCGGCCTCCCAAAGTGCTGGGATTACAGGCGTGAGCCACCGCGCCTGGCCTCTTCATTAAAGTGTGAACCTTCTTCACGCCTTGCTGGCGTTGGCCCAGGTTGTGGGGACTAGGACGTGGTTGGGGAGAGCAGGGGCTTGTAAGGAACCCGCTGGGCCTGAGGGAGAGGAGACTGGAGCAGAGTGTCAGAGAGAGGAGGGAAGGAACTCCGAGGCATGGGGGCCCGCTGTGAGGGTGCAGGGACAGGCTGGGCTGTGAGTCGGGGGAGGGGCTGGGCGGCAGAGCCATTATTCATTCCCACCAGCCCGCAGCTTCCTAAATGAGATAACACTCACATCAGCACTTTTCTCTTTTGTGCTCCTGTTTTAATAACACGTTGGGCTCTGCAAGGGGGTGACCACATCTCTATCTCTTCATCTCTTTCTGCCTTTGAGAGAACCCTCACCCTGTCTAGGATCCATTGGTCCGGAGCAGAGCTCAGAGTGGCAGAGGGCTCATGTGAGGGCCGGGGACCCTCCCTCTGCAGATGCACTTCCCAGAGGGAGCAAGTGGGCAGGACAAAAGGGGGCCTCTCCCCCCCTGGCCCAGGCGTCCCTGGTGCCCATCTTCTAACTCCACAACCAAGAGGACTTACAAAGTCCAGGCCAGCTTCAGAGAAATCTCATTCTGCAGTGGGACAAACGGGACCAGACGACAGGGAGACCTGCCCCCATGAGCCCACGCTGACAGCCCTGGAAAGGGCTTCTGTGCCACCCTGCCCCGCCTTTGTTATGGGTCCCCCCACAACGCTTGAGCAGCACAGAGAGCTGCTGGCAGTGGGGTGGCCTGGATGGAGCTTCCATTTGATCCCCAAACTCTGGGTGTCTGGGCAAAGGTTTCCCCACTGGAAAACCATCCACCTCCTTCACCGGAGAAGGGGGATGAACCACTCCGCGCTGAATGGAGGCAGCGTGACTTGGTCATGCATTGAAAGCTGTGGCAGGCAACGGGAGTGTCAGAAACTGTTCTCATCTCTTCAGCTAAACTTGTAAGGTCAGGGGGTCAGGACCACATGGTAATGATCACGAGCTAAAGTTGCAGGGGGCACCAGATGTCTGTTCTAATTTATTTCCTTTGAGCCACAGAGCTGCTCAGTGACACAGGTGATTGTGGGTGCCGTTTGCAGACAGAGCTGTGCCAGAGTGAGCCAGCCAGAGGTGAAGCGGGGACTCAGACTCAGCTCCCAGCTTCCAGATCAGAGCTGTGCCCACCACCCCAGAGCTGCACCCAGGGCTGAGCCTAGAAGAGCTGTGAGATGCAGCATAGCAGGGGACTTGGGGCACAGACTGTGGAACCGGGCTGCCTGGCTGTCCCATGTGCAGCAGTGTGGCTGTGGACATGTTATTGATTGAATGTCTCTGAGCCTCAGTTTGTCACCTGTAAAATGAGAATCTTGGTAGCACCTAATTCGTAACGTTGCTGTGAGGATGAAATGAGAAGTTCTCTACAAATGTACATAGCACAAACCACAAAGATAAAAGTTCCTATCAAATTAAACATGTGCTTACCATATGCCCCAGCAATCCCTCTCTCTAGAGAAGTCCCACTCCCAAGAGAAGTAAAGATATATGTCCACCAAAGACCTGTCTGTGAAAGCTCTTAGCAGATTTACTGAAAATCATCAAAATCTCACTTCTGAAAAGAAGGTATACAAATGGCCAACAATCATGAAAAAAGGCTCGACATCACTAATGATCAGGGAAATGCAAGTCAAAACCACAATGCGATACCACCTTACTCCTGCAAGAATGGCCATAATCAAAAAATCAAGGCCGGGTGCGGTGGCTCACGCCGGTAATCCCAGCACTTTGGGAGGCCGAGGTGGGCGGATCACGAGGTCAGGAGATCGAGACCATCCTGGCTAACATGGTGAAACCCCGTTTCTACTAAAAATACAAAAAATTAGCCGGGCGCGGTGGCGGGTGCCTGTAGTCCCAGCTACTCGGGAGGCTGAGGCAGGAGAATGGCGTGAACCCGGGAGGCGGAGTTTGCAGTGAGCCGAGATCGCACCACTGCACTCCAGCCTGGATGATAGAGCGAGACTCCGTCTCAAAACAAAACAAAATCAAAAAACAGTAGATGTTGGCATGGATGTGGTGATCAGGGAACACTTCTACACTGCTGGTGGGAATGTAAACTAGTACAGCCACTATGGAAGACAGTGTGGAGATTCCTTAAAGAGCTACCCTTTAATCCAGGAATGCCACTACTGGGATTCTTCCAGAGGAAAAGAAGTTATTATACAGAAAAGATGCTTGCACACACATGTTTATAGCAGCACAATTCACAATTGCACAGTCGTGGAACCAACTCAAATGCCCGTCAATCAACAAATGGAGAAACTGTGATATATATATATATATATGATGGAATACTACTCAGCCATAAAAAGGAATGAATTAACAGCATTTGCAGTGACCTGGATGAGACTGGAGACTATAAGTGAAGGAACTCAGGAATGGAAAACCAAACATTGTATGTCCCCACTGACATGTGGGAGCTAAGCTATGAGGACGCAAAGGCAAAAGAATGATACAATGGACTTTGGGGACTTGTGTGGAAGAGTGGGAAGGGGTGAGGGATAAAAGACTACAAATAGGGTATAGTGTATACTGCTCGGGTGATGGGTGCACCAAAATCTCACAGATCACCTCTAAAGAACTTACGTAACCGAATACCACCTGTTCCCCAATCACTTATGGAAAAATAATTTTTATTTTTTTTTTACAAAAAGGGCTAGGCACTGTGGCTCACACCTGTAATCCCAACACTTTGGGAGGCCGAGGTGGGTGGATCACCTGGGGTCAGGAGTTTGAGACAAGCCTGGCCAACATGGCAAACCCTGTCTCTACTAAAAATACAAAAATTAGCCAGGTGTGGTGATGGGTGCCTGTAATCCCAGCTACTCAGGAGGCTGAGGCAGGAGAATCACTTGAACCCAGGAGGCAGTGGTTGCAGTGAGCCGAGATCGCGTCATTGCACTCCAGCCTGGGCGGTAAGAGTGAAACTCTGTCTCAAAAAAAAAAAAAAGAAAGAAAGAAAGAAAGAAAAAAAGAAAAGAAAATCATCAAAATGTGGAAACAGCCCAGGTGAGGGGACAGATGCTGTGGTGCGTCCACACGGTGGGGCACTGCCCAGCAGGGGAAGGACGCTGCCGTGGGTTCAGGCCACTCAGAGGGACTCTAAAGTACTGTGTACCGCTAAAGAAGCCAGACACGAAGGACTCCATTCTGCATGATCCCATTGCGGTGACATTCTAGAAATGGCAAAACGCCAGTGACAGAAAGCAGAAGGGGGTTGGGAGGGGGGATTGGTGCAAAGGGGCTGGCGGGAACTTTAGGGGGTGAAGCTATTCTGTGTCTTGATGCTGGTGGTGGATACATTTGTCCAAATTCATCAGGCTGTAGATTTAATGGGGATAAACATTATTTTATGCTTTAAGAAAAACCCAGATTTTTGAAAAGCAGAGCCGGGGTGTAGTAAGTATGGAAGTGCTCGCTGCTCTTATTATTATTAGTGTGACCATTATTATTATCCACGGAAGATTCTCTGGACGGGTGGCTTGTTTGCATCCCTGACCCACCGGGCTGCGCCCTGGAGCCCCCCTGCTCAGGCTGGCCAAGGAGGGCGCCTCTCCTCCCACTCGGCGGCTGGGCCCGGCCGTGGTGTGTGATGGGCCGTCTTGCCCAGCCCTGGCCCCTGGCCCCTGGCCCCTGGCGTTCTGACAGACGTGCGGCGCGTGGGGAGGGCTCTCAGCTGCTCCCTGGAGTCTGCTTTCCTCCCGCTGATCGTGTGAGGCGCTCAGCGACACGTTAGCAAGAAAGATGCCACAAGAAATAAAGTTTGTTATGAATTATTCTACTTGGGGCTAATTATAGGCACAGAGGAGAGGATTATTTACAGAGACAGGAGGCAGGGGACGGGGAGGACGAGGAGGAGGGGCCCTGAGACATGGAAACGAGTGGAGGGCTGGAGAGAGTTCAGCAAACGGGGCTTTTTGAATAAAAGCTGTGACTAAACTCAGGTCCATGCTGATTGTAGCGTCTCAGGGGACAGATCAGAGGCCCCAGGCCTTGCCTGATCCTCAGGACAGAGCTGGAGAGAACACTTGGTCCTGGTATCCCGTGGGCCACCGGGGTTCTCTTGGTGGGTGTGGCACAGCTGAGGAAGCCCCACCGCTGGAGTCCCAGGGTGGAGGTGGGCCCAGATCTGTGCAGGGCCCAGCCTCACTCTGTTCTCCTGGGCCTTCCCTGTGCCAGGGAAGGAGAGGCCAGGGGAAGTTTATGTCCACCCACGGTGTCCCAGCTGAGCGAGAAGGGACACGGGATGATATGAGCTGGCCGTGGGCGCCCACTGCATACAGCAGGTTGGTGAGGGAAGGTCTGATGGGGACTTAGCCGCACTGTGCCACACCGAAATTCACAGCCCACCGTGGCTCGGAGGAGCATGGGCTGGTGTGACCCTGGCTTCCAATTCTTCAACAGGAGGTGGGAAACCATTGTTTCTGTGCAACTTCCTAGTCTTTAAATGCTGCCTTAAACCTCCTACATCACACCCAGGGGTCTGTGGACCACAGTTCACAGCCTCCTATTGTTCCAGTTGGAACAGAGGACTCAGCAGGGCTATGGCCCAATCACTCACCCCGAGACCCCTCTCCACCCTCCAGCACTGCTTGCAGTGGATCGTGGAAGTCGGTCCTCGGTGCCAGCCACAGACTCCCTGCCCAGTGCTCATGACAGACAGCAGCAGTTCCACACTTGGGTCTGCAGCAGGGTGGGTTGGTGGCTCGCAGCTTGCCGGAAAAGCCCCACCTTATCAGAGGGCGGTGGTCTTGCCCTCCCCTGAGAGTGAGCAGTAGGCCAAGGTTTCTCCAGTTATTTCTGCCTGGCTGCACCGCCATCTACTCACGCAACCAGGCAGGAAATGACAGAGGCATCTTCTGCTCCCGCCCTGCCTCCCTCCCCGCCAGGAGAGTCACCCTCCATGCCCTGCCCCGGGGATGTTTTTCATAGCCGTTCCCCCTCTCCAGCAGCCTGTTCCAGGTCAGGCAGCTCCCTGTCCTCCTGTGACGATAGCCTCCACCAGCCCCACGACAGAGCCCTCGCTCCAGAGCTCTCTGACCCCCTCGTCCCTGCTCAAGTCTTCTGCCGCCCCTGCTTCCCCACGCTCAGTGTCCTGGCACGGATCCAAAGCCTGTCTAATCCAGCCCGTGCTGCCACCAGATAGGTCCTGCCTCATATGCTTTGCTTATGCTGTTCATCGGCCTGGAATGACCTTCCCTACCCACCTCCTCTTGGCCCCTGCCCGTTCCCCGAGGCCCTGAGGCAGGGCGTTATGCACTGCACCTGTGCTTGCTGGCTTCCCCTGCTGGACGATGAGTGCCCCACAGACCCTCTGCAGCCCAGGGCTTGGGGCCTGGCACAGAGCAAGCCTTCCAGAAATGTCTGCATTCCCCCATTCTGAAATCTGTACTGCGGTGAGCCAGGCCCTGGTCCAGGTGGATGAAACAGACAGCCCCTCTGCTCCTGGAGCTTCCCCTCTAGTTCCAGGCAGATGGACAACAAAGAGACAAGTCCAGAAGGGCACCCACCAGGGTCACTAGGCACTACAGTGCAACAGGGCACTATTTAGATGGGGAGACAGAGAGGGCCTCCTCAGGGAGGTGCCATGAGCTGAGATTCAGGCGATGAGGAGTGTGCTATGGCATCAGAGGGAACAGCATTCTGGGCAGAGGGAACAGTAGATGCAAAGCCCCTGAAGCAGGACTGAGCAGAGCACCGGGAGAGCCAACAAAGGGCTGGGTGCTGCATGGTGAGTGAAAGGGACAGTGGCCTGTGGCATCTGAAGTGACAGGAGAAAAGGAGGTGGAAGGCCCACATTCAGCAGGTTTCTGGCCAGGTTGGTGGCCATGCTGTTTGCACAGGGAGCTGGTCATCTGGGGTAGCCACATAGGATGGCTGAGGCGAAATGTTCTGCAGTGGCGAGCCTGGAGGTCCTGATGAGGATGGGGGCACTTTCTGCCCTGAGGTCCTCACTGGAGCCTGGCACTCTCCAGGAGAGATGGGAGAGCAGAACAGAGCACAGAGGAGGGAGGAGCCCTGGAGGCTGAGCCAAAAGGAGCATTGGAACCAGAGACAGAGGGGTCTTTTGGCAAATGGCTAGGCGGAGGTGGAAGCCAGGTTGTAGGAGGTGGAGCCAGGAATGGGATTAAGGTGGGTGGGGGGAGCTGAGTAGGGAGGGGGAAAGAGAAAAGGGACCCAGACCAGCAGGGACAAGACAGCAAAGAGTTTAATGAATGGTTTTCTTGTCCATGATGGGGGACAGGTGAGCATCCTTGGAGACCCCTGGGCTATTGAGGCATCTTATACAGCTTGGTGACATCTCCTCCAGGAAGCCCTCCTGGATGCCCCAGATCGGGCCCCCCAGTTATGTGCTCATGCCACCAGCCCTTGTCTGACTGAACTCTGACTTTGGGCGGTAACCTTGGACTTACCACTTGGATGATCTCACCAGTATCTGCCTCCCACAAGTGGGCGGGCTCTAGAGAGGGGCCAGGCCTGGTTTCGACCTGCTTGGTGAATCTAAGCTGCTGCCCAGGACCTGGTCCACAGCCGGTGGTGGGAGAGGCTGAGGACAGCAGGGAGAGCAGCCACAGTCCTGGCGCCGAGGCCCGGAGGGAGCTGGGGCTGCTGGGTGGTGAATTGGCCCAGAAGGAGGTCATGCCGACCTTGAAGCCAGTCGGCCTGTGGGCTGCTCTGAGAGGCTGGAGCGCATCTCAGCAGGGGCGGACGTGCTTGGGAGCAGGATGGACGCAGAGCCGCGCACATGCTCTGCCCTCCCAGAGCTTCCACAGGGAGCGCCCCCGTCAAGCCTAGGAGAGAGCAGCACAGCCCCTTGCCGCCCTCCCATCCCCCTCTCATTCCATTTGTGCCACTCCGATGGGTGCCCCGCTCCCGCCTGGGAGCAGATGAAGGTCTGCCTCACCCCCGTTCGTTGAAGTCGGGCGCCGGCTGATTCTCCATGCCCGACGGCTGGAGCCAGGCCCTGGTGGTCTTCGCTGATGAAAGGATGCTTGGATGAAAATGCCCCGTTCCCATCCAGCGCGTGACTCTGGGATGGGCATTTGGGAGAGAGACAGGGCTGGCCTCTGGGACTGATGGGAGAGCCGGGCTTGGCGTTGTGCACACGCATGTGGTCCGGCTGGCTGACCCCGCCCTCCCTCCAGGGCCTCCCTTCTATGGGGACGCCTCCTGGGAACAGGCTGCCGAGGCGGGGGGGCCCTCAGCATCCTCTGGCTTTCCTCAATTCATTAAGACCTGTAAATTTTCTCATTAATATACTTAAAGTTCGTTTTAAGGGGAACAAGCGCAGAGATAATTGATAATAAACCCTCAGTTAATGCCCTTGGTTTGCTGTATATAATTTATATCCACTGGTAGCCTCTCTCACTCCCAATTACCCGTTTAGCTGCAGCGATAACAGCAGTTCAATCAGACCGATCCCAACTTTTACATATTCCAGCCCGATAGCCATAAATACCCACACAGAGAGACTCGGGGGGGCCCACAGTATATTTTTATTAAGATTTAAATATTCATGCAATTATTAGTGATTTATTAAGAGCCAATGACCCCTTCAAGAGCCCCTAAATCTTCACCCAAAGAGGCCCCTGGCCCTCCCCTCCCCCCGTGTCCCCCTTCCTCTTTACCCTCCCCCGCCAAAACCAGAGAAATGGGCCTGCCCTTCCACAGCCCAGATGACATGGAAGCAGCGCCTGCGTTTCCATGGTAACAGCAGGCAGGTGAGGCGGAGGCCCAGGATGGAGGTCAGGCCCAGGGAAGGGCTGGGCTTCTTGAGGGCGGAGGCTCCTGCTGCCTTCCCACACCAGACCTGGGGGGGCAAGAGGAAGAGGAGGCATCCAGCAGCCCCTCCAGGCCCCTACTGACCAGCTGACCAGCAGCCCCCACGCTGCGGCCTCCTCCAGGCTGGTTTCCTAGAGCACCCCTCCCCGCCTCATTTCCACGTTAGCACCACCGCCCCCCGCACCCAGATCCCTCCGCCCCTCAGCCTGGTGTGACATCCTTTAGGGACCCTTGGGGAGGGGGTACCCCAGCTTCTCTCTCCCCTGCTACCCCAAAGCACAAGAGGGTGTGCAGGGATCTGAGGCCCTGGGACTCAGGGCCCAGACAGGGCAGCGGCTCATCTGAGGCTGCATAGTGACACTGAGGCCACCCCTCTCTTTCCTCCATGTTCCTCCAAGACCCTAGAGCCCATTAAAGGGGCAGGAAAGATAATGAACAAATGAGGAAAACATGAAATCAATACCAGGAGAAAAAAGTATGGCTGTCATTAAGTGAAGTAAACAAGCTGGTAATTATTTGGACAGTGGGTAATTAAAACGGGGTGAGGGCTCATTCCTGTCTCATCAGGGGTGTGATGGGAGCGGCCAGACACCCTATTCCCAGATGGAAGGTGGCAGCAGGGCCCAGGCTCCTTCCCGCCCAAATTTGGAATAGGAAGGCTGGTGTCTCAGGGGTCCCCTCTCTGGAGTCCCCCACCTGGACTCGCCTGTGCCGCTGGTTGCAGGAGGCTTCAGCTGCCTCACCCAGGGGCAGGAGCTGAGGCTCAGACCACGGGCACACAAGATGGGCAGCCGCGGCCTGGGCCCTGCGCGTCTCGGGATTGCAGCTTCTCCCCTCTCGGCCTCTGGAAGGGACAGTGCCCTCAGGCCTCAGCTGAGAGGACACCTGGTGCTGACAGGTACATCCTGCTACCCGCCCAGGTACCTGGGGCAATGGACAGCCGACCTCTCCGCCTCTGTCCAGGCCCAGGGGCCTTCTTTTGGGGGCTCTGATGAGGAGGGTTCCCAGGAATGAGGGGGTGCTGGCAAGGGCAGGAAGAGCGGGGCAGAGACTGGGAGGGCACAGCAGGGACAGGGCTGGAGTGTGGCGGCAGCGGGGGTTCCCTTGCCTTGCTGTGACCCTGACTGGTAAAGTCGGAAGAGGCCTTGGACACTGCCCAGTCTGGCTTTGCCCTGCCGACTTGTTTGGCCCACGGAGTGTTTAAAGTGTTTAAATTAGTTGTCAATATTTTTAAATGGGAGGTTTCACATAAAAATAGATTTCCAGCTTCCCTTGGGGAAAAAAAAATCAGTGCAGGCTGGGCGCAGTGGCTCACGCCTGTAATCCCAGCACTTTGGGAGGCCAAGGCAGGTGGATCACCTGAGGTCAGGAGTTCAAGACCAGCCTGGCCAACATGGTGAAACCCCGTCTCTACTAAAAATACAAAAATTACCTGGGTGTTGTGGCATGCACCCATAATCCCAGCTACTTGGGAGGCTGAGGCAGGAAAATCCCTTCAACCAGGGAAGTGGAGGTTGCAGTGAGCCAAGATCACGCCATTGCTCTCCAGCCTGGGCAACTGCGTCTCAAAAAATTAAAAAAATGGTGCACCTCTCATCTGGCCTGCCCCCTTGGATGGACACTGTCACTGTCCACTTTTCCCAGCCCCACCCAGCCCCTGAAGGCACTGAACTTGCCACCTCTCACTCAGTCCTACATCTCCTGAGGTCCAGAGAGGGAAGTGGCTTGCCCAAGGCCACGTGGCCAGGTGGAGGCAGAGTGGGGGCTGGGGACTCAACCTCCTGATGCCCAACTGAGGGCTGTGCCCCAGCCCCCAGCAAGTACATACCCTGGGCCAGTTGCCAGCAGGGACAGAGATGACACCCTACTGCCCACTCTTGGAGCTTGTGGCAAGTTGAGGAGACATTTCAACTCTGCCACCATCACTGGCCCCCGACTTGCCAGCCCCTGAGCTGGACACTGCTGAGAAGAGTTGGCTCCCACCTGCTGTGTGCACTGGAGGGTGCACAGGCTGACAGCGGAGGCAGGTGCCTGCACAGCCAGCCCTGCGTCAGCAGGATCATGGGAGGCCGAGGAGCAAGCCATGCAGCCCCACGTCCCCCAGTCCCTGCCACACCAGCCCAGAGGAGGCAACATCTTTAATTTTGAATGAACAGGGCTGAGTGCATTGGTAGTAGGTGGGGTGCCCTGCAGGTTTAGGAGGAAGTCGGGGTGTGAGCCCTAACTTTAATACATGCACCTGGCTGAGCTGACTGCAGGGTATGGGTTGGTGACCAGGGATGGGACTGCTGTGTTAGTTGTATGGGAACCATTGCAGGGGTTTGAAGTGTGAGATCGGATTCTCTTTCTAGAAATAGCGAGGTTGAGGACGGCACTGAGCTAGGAGGTAGCCAAGGGAAGGCACACTTTGGGTGGTGGGGCCGGGGGTGGAGGCTGGATGAGTTAGGTGGCCACGAGGGAGGAAAGGAGGGAGGCTTCCTGGGAGGTGGGGGCCCTGCTGACTGCAAGAGGCAGAAGGAGAGTCGGGATGGCGCAGGCAGCGAGGGTGGGCGGGGAGCCTGGCTAGGGACCCCGGGGCAGGAGCTGATGGGGGCCACAGAAGCGGGGCCTCAGGAGAGCCGAGCCCGGGAAGCCGTTTGCAGCTTCAAGGAGTGGCTGCATGTGCTGGCCTCTGCTGTCGCCCTGGGCTGGTGGGACCCATGAGTGGGAGCTGGGTTTGTCCCTAGGTTACTGGGTTTTCCTGTGGGCCATTGTATGAGGAGGGGTCCAAGCGGGCTCATCTGCTGAGAATGGGAATCAAAGATTGGCTGGTGGCCTGTGGCCTCAGTCACCATCCTAGTGTGGGCAGTGGTGTATGTGCCCACAAATGCTAATGGACCGGGCTGCAGCAGGCATGATTCTGGAGGCTGTGCTCCCAGGACTTCCCAGTGCTCCCAGGACTTTCCAGTGCTCCCAGGACTTCCCAGTGCTCCCAGGACTTCCCAGTGGGGCTGGGGTCCCTGGGCCACCCCATGGGGGCATGGACGTGGGTCCCTCTTGGGCTGTGTTGGCCGGTGCCTAGCACGGTGCCAGGACATGTTGCCAGATGCATGCTCCTGGTTGAGAGCCCGGGGCACTGTAGCCAGCCTGCCTGGGCAGGAACCCATCGCTCTCGACTTACTGTGCCTCTCCATGCCTCAGTTTCTTCATTGGTAATTCAAATTAGTTCCTTGCCTCTTAGAATTGTTGTGAGGGTTAAATAACATCCTGTCAAGTTCACCATGGCTGTCGTTGCTGTGACTGTGTGGGTGCCGTGACGGCTGTGGTTGTGGGCAGTGTCTCCCACCAGCCAAGGGCAGGCGACTGTGTAACCTCCCAAGTGCCTCTGGGCTCTGGTCCCCACCTTGCACAACCTGAGCTGCTGCCACTCCTGGACCACCCCGGCCCCAGCTCTGGCGGGGCACACATTAAACCAGTGAGATATGAAATGCCGCCATATGTGGGACAGGGTCTTTAATTAAATTAATTGCCAGCAACATTGTAAAAATGCTGACGGGGCCATAAATGGTGTAGGCCACGCTGTTCATCATCCCCGCGCCGGGGCCACACCTGGGCTGGGGGCGGGGCTGGCCATGGCGGGCTGCAGCCTCTGAGGGAGCTCTGTGCACCCCCCTCGGGTGGCCCCCGGAGAGGGGAGGGGAGCATGGGGGCAGGAGGCAGGGGAAGAATGTACTGTCAGGAGGGGCTGCAGAGTGGCACTCCTAGTTGGGGCAGCTCCTGACTTTCCAGCTGGCCTGTCTTGAGGGGCAACTGTGGAACAGGTGCACTGTCCTTACTCGGCCTTATGGTGCGTGTGCCTGGGGAAGAACCCGGATGGAAATGGGGAGGGTGCCCCCAGAGCTACTCTAAGTAGAGTTACCTCCATCCGTGGGCAGTCGGGTGATCTGCCCCGGCTCTGCCATGGTCGCTGTGTGTCCTTGAGCTAGTCATCCCGTCTCTGAACTCATTTCCTCATTAGGAAGACAGAAGGACCCTACCCACCTGCCTGCCTCTGTCGTGTTCCCAGCGCCCTGCCGGCTACCCTCTCTTGGCCTCTCGCCTTTTGGGGAGCTGTGCCAGGAATTCTTTATGTCTCTCTCAGCCGGGGCTGCCACAGGCCTTGCCAGGGCTCAGAGCCTGCCTACCGCCCCTACTGCTTGTGAGGCAGCTGGGCCGGCCACCTGCCTCTGCCAGGTGAGAGGTGAGGGAGGCTCACACACACTCACACACACCACACACACAGAAACACACATACACCACACAGAAACACTACATACACCACACAGAAACACACACATATCACACACAGAAACACACACAGAAACACATACACACCCCACACACAGAAGCACACACACACACACACTACAGCTACCAAAGCACAGGCGCCGGCCAAGGATCCCAAGGCAGGAAAGCGCCTTCCTTCCCCAGTTTTCCCTGGGCCGTGTGACCACATAATTACCCTGGATTCCATTCTATTTAATTGCAGCTTATTAAGTTCTAACCAGCCAATTATCAGCCACAATTACAGCTTAATTCAGGGACACAATAGCTATTTTATCATTTGTTAATCAAATGCTTATTTAGACCTCAGCTTTATTAACTATTTCTCTGGCCTGAGGCGAGGCCCCTCAGCAGGAAGGGGCCCTTGGTTGGGGCCATAGGAGCCCGTCCCCCCATCACAGCACTCCCCCCGGGAGTTTCTGAGTTCCCTTTGCGGTGGGTTCAGGTACTTAGCGATGGCAACAGTGTCACACTAAGTGTGGGAAGGCCCAAGCCAGTTCACTCTGCGTTTGCGACATCTTGGCTCAGCTCCTGCCCAGTGCTAGGCCCTGTGCCTGGTGCTGGGACCGGTGGCAAGACAGATGTGGTCCTGCTGTTGTGACATGTTTTACGGAAGAGTAACCAAGTACACAAACAAGATGACCTCAGGTGGTGGCAGGCGTGAGGAGGAAAACAGACTGGGAAAGGGGAGGGAGAGGAAGAGCTCCTTCACACAGGCCAGGTCCTCGGTGACAGTGACTCCGCGGGAGCAGAGATGGGACGGGTTAGAGCAGGCAGCTGTGGGAAGATCGGAGGCAGCGTGTGCGGGCACGACAAGTGCAAAGGCCCTGCAGTGGGGTGAGTGCAGAGCATTTGAGAACAGATACAGGAGCCCTGCCCCACTCCTGGCCCCGGCCATTTGGCTAAAGTCCTTGGTGGGTTGTACCACCTTAGGAAAGGCCTGAGCCTCACGTTCCTTGTCTGTACAACCAGAGGCAGGAAGAAGGAGCCTGTGAGCAGTGGCCGGGGCGGAGGACAGGCCTGGTCTGCAGGAGCTGGCGGGCAAGGGACCAGCGGTGCCCCTGCCCAGAGTAGTCATCCTCTGAGATGGGAGCGGTGCCGCCCCCGCCCTGCCCCTTTGTTCTTTGTGGTTCAGCCTGTCTGCATGTCCTCCTCGTGACTCCTGTGTCCGTCCTTGTGACCAGGCCCCTGGAGCCCACTGGGGAAGAGGGTGACTTTCCTCCGATCTCGGGGAGGTGGCTGCTGCTTCAGTGACACCTTCATGCACACGTTACTATGGAAACCAGAGTGCCGTGCTTGCCTGTATGTGAGCGTAGGTCGGGGGAGCAGCCCTCCCTTCCAAGGAGCACTGAGAGGGACTGTCACCCCCATCCAGTCACCTCCACATCCGGCACGCTCCTAGACAGGAGACACTGCCCTCTCCCCACCTTCGTGCATTCACCACACACTGGGCATGGGCCCTGGGACTCTGGGCTCAGACCTGTCCCTGCCGTCCAGGGAGTCCTGTGCTATTGGGGGTGACTGCTAGGGCGACAGAGGATGGACAGAGGGATGGACCAAGGGGACGGGAAGGGGAAGAAGAGAAGCAAGTCCTGGGGTGGACTGCACTCCCGAAAAACCTCATCCGCTATTTGCCCGTTTCACAAATGAGAACAATGAGGCTCTAGAAATAGGCGGTTCGCACAAGGGGCTGCAGTGGGGTCAAATAAGGCCAGGGAAGCAGCTGGCAGGCTGTACAGAGGTTTTTTATGTTTTGGCTTTGAAAGAATTCAGAGGCGTGCACCCCAGCTTGCTGCTGGCTGCATGGCACCCCGTTGTTACCTCCAGGCAGGTTCATACCTGAGTTGCCACCTGGACTCTCATGGCTCTTACTGTGCCACCCAGATCTGTAGTCTCCGGTAGAGATTGAAACCCAGGTCATGGAACCTGCCACTCCCCACCTTGCCCTCCTCACCACAGGTGCTGTCTCTGTCCCTGTCTCTGTCTCTCTCTGTCTCTCTAACAGCAAGTGCGGAACGTGTCCCTGCTTATCAGAGCCCCCTAGTGAAGCTCCCTCTTCACAGAACTGTGTATGTTTAAAAAGTAATAACTCATGCCGCCATCTCAGGCCGCAGGGATGCAGGTGGCAGGGAGTGCTCAGCCCCACTCCCCTGCGTGTCTGCAAGCCCGGCTGAGCCACACTGGGCTCCTGCTCCCCCTGCCCCCTGCCGCTGTGCCCCCTGGCTCCCTGACCCCTCTGCTTCCCCAGGGTCCAGCACTGGCATTTGAAGAACCTGGTTCCCTTCCCATTGAACTGAGGGGTTCATTGGTTGATTGGAAGGTAAGCAGAGCTGGCTCCCAGCCAGATTTGAGTTTCCCTCCTCCACTTCTAGCCCTTCGTTCCTGGGCTCTTGTCCCATTGCTGGGAATGATGTTCCACATTCATTCCACAAAAACTCTCTGGCTGTATGTCAGGTCCTGACCAGGCTGTGGGGATGGGTGGTCCCTGCCCTCAAGGCCCTGACAATTTATATGGGAAGACACATGCATAAATGGTGACAATATGATATTCAAGGCACTGGGGTGACTTCGGTAAGGGACTGTGGGAGCTCAGACTGGGGTCAGGGCAGGCTTCCTGGAGGAGGGGGTGTTTGAGCAGACCTTGAAGAATGAGTAGTGGTCACCCAGGCAGACAGCAGATGGGCAGGTGGACCAATGAGATGGAAAGATCCTGACTCCAACTAGCTTCAGCCAAAAAAAGGAATGTACTGGCTCATGCTCTGGGAATCCAGAGCTAGCTGTGCCTCCAGGTCCATGGGACCCCAGGCCTCTGATGCTGGCAGGAGGAGCTGGCCTCTCCCTTGCACTGGTTGTCTCCACTCTTCAAGCTCTTGCTTCAGACCTGTGAATAGCCTGCCTTTACCCTCAGCCTTACGAAGGCCTACAATGCCTGCAGGACTGGCCCTTCCCTGTGAGGGCCCCCGGCAACTCCAGGGCTCCATGCCCACGGCTCCAAGCTCAGCACAGGGAGAGGGTCTCCCTTCCCAAAAACCCGACCAAGATGCTGGAATCCCGTCTATTGGACGGGGCGGCCTGCAAGTCCTTCTGGGAACCATTGGTGGGGATGGGAGAGGGGGAGCGTGCCCACCTCTGGGTCCACAGATAGGGTCAGCCCCTGGACCACGTGGCCTGCATGGTGGGAGGAGTTGAGGGGAAGGCATTCTTTAAAGAAAATCAGGCACTGTCAGCCAGAAAGTGAGAGGGAGGCAGAAACTGGGACAGAACACGCAGAACCCCTGAGAATTGCACGTGGCGAAGACGCCGCCGGTGTGGAGGGATCCCTAGAGGCGAGGCCAGCAGGGCCTCAAATGCCAGCCAGAGGCACAAGTGGCACGTCATCCTGTGGCACTCCCCATGCCCGGACATCCGAGCACCTGTAGAGCGGGGAACCCAGGCCCTGGTGGACCTACTGGGGGCAAACCTCCATGGGGAGGCTGCCCAGGGGCTCCCCAAGGCCTGCTGGGCACCAGCATCCAGGGCTCAGGGGTGCAATGCTGGCTGCTGTGCCCCAGCCTCCTCCTCCACCCCATTTCACATCCAGAACAGCTCTCAGGGAAGCAGAGGAAGGGGCTGCCACCCTGGCCCCTCGCTGTGTTCCTCAACCGCGCCGTGTGGTCTGCAGGGCGGACGGCGCCCGCCACCAGGCCGCTGGGAGGATGGAAGGAATGGCGGCAGCCGCCCTGGGGAAGCAGCACCCACCTCTCCCAGCTGAGTGAGGCCGAGTGACGCCCTGTCCCTACCCCTCCCCTGCCCCCAGGGACGGAGGCCTTGCTCAGTATATATGGGTTCATTAATAGCTTGATTAATCACACCTCATATTTTCTGGTGCTTTTAAAAATAAAACATTTGAAAGCACTTTCACACCCACCTTGGGCCTCAGAGTTCCGGGCGAGTCTTATCTCCCAGACTGCAGGTGAGGAAAGGGGCTGAGCCTACAAGAGCAGCATGTGCCAGCGGGTGGCTGGGGGCAGCCTGGAGCCAGGGGCTTCTCCTGCCCGCCACTCCGCCTGTGGGCTGCTCTGCCCTCTCTCTGGGTCTCTCCACAGACCAGGAGTGAAGGGGCCACCCTAGGCAGATCTGAAATTCTAGAGGGAAAAAGCGGTGGTCATTCAGTCACGCAACAAACACTCCATCAGCATCCTGGTGAGACCTGGGCTCCTGCCCCCAGGGAGTTTATGGTCTAACAAGGGAAGTGGCGTACAAACTCACCCTGGTCCTGAAGTGGCATTAACCCAGATGGAGGCTCAGGGGATGGAGCAGGTGCTTTGAGTGACAAAAAGTGTGGATCCAGAAAGGCCTCCAGGAGGAGGCGACAACTTTGCTGACATTTCCCTGGTGGACCAGGTGGAGCAGGTCCACCACAGTCCACACCACTGGATGCCCACAGCAGCCTCCCCACCTCCCCTCTGCCCAGTGCCACCCCTCCCCTCCCACTCCTCACGCAGGGAGAGCACACCACACCCCTGCACATGACCCCCAAGGCTTCCTGTGGCCCTGGCAATGAAATCCCAACTCCTGACTCGACTGTAAAGGCCCCTGGGGTCCAGCCCCTGCTTCCTGTCTGACCAAACACGTCTCGCCCTCACTCACTCTGCCCAGGCCACACTGGCCTCCCTGCTGTCCTCAAACAAGCCCAGCTGCCTCCTGCCTTAGGGCCTCCCCTGTTCCCTTTTCCAAGCACACTCTGTAGCCTGGCCTTGGCATTCAGGGCGCTGCTCAGATGGCACCTGCCTGAGCCCCGCTCCCTCGAGAGCCCTCTCACCCGCCCCTTTCTGAAAGTCTGCCCCTTCTACCTTCTCTGCTGCACTTAGTCCGCCCCTTCTACCTTCTCTGCTGCACTTGGGTTTTGTTTTGCTTTGTTTCCCCAACTTGAAAGCAAGCTTCAGAGACGGGGACTGTGTTGTCTTGCTTGCGCTGGATCCCGGTGCCCGGAACAGTTCCTGGCACACAGCAGGCACTCAATAATTATTTGTTGAATGGATACGTTTCATGTCTTGGAAGAAGGTGGCATCCGTCCCAGGCTCAGTTCAGTCCAAGGCTCCTTGCCCAGGGGTCTCTTGCCTCCCATTGCCACCGGCCCCGGGGACTCATCTGCTTCCCCTCCTTTCTGTAGCTGCCACCCCCGTTGGCCCCCAGCCTCCCTACACACACGCACACACACACACATGCATGCCACACACACATGCGCACACACACACACGCCTTGCCCCTCCTCCTTGCTATTCCTGAGAAGATGTGTGGTTTGGGGGTTGCCCAGTTTGCTGCTCCCACCCTTGCCGAGCAGGGGCACCAGCTCCAGCTGACGTGGGCAGCCAGTTCTCTCCTGAGAGAGGCAGGGCCAGCCAGTGGGCTCTGGGGCTCACCGCAAATGGGGTTCCCACTTCAGGGCTTGAGTCATCCACCCAGCCCTGTCTGACCAAGTCCTGTAGTTCCTGGTGACCAAGCGCCCGTCAGGAATCTGCTAGTCAGTGAATGAGGTCTTCTAACTTAATTCCAAGCGGGCAGCCAGGCCAGGTCACGTCCCTTGCCAGTGGGAAAGCTGTGACATGGCAGAAGGAGCCTCTGGGAAACTAGGGATGAGTGGGGTTTGGGAAGTGGCAGGGCCCATGAAGCTGGTGGGCCCATACCTGCCTGCTGTCCTGCAGGCCCACGAGCCACTGCAACCAAGGTGTGTCCGCCCTGGCAGTGTTCTCACACGCCCGTCCGTCAGTGGCCCCAGAGGCAGCAGCGGTAGGCACCCCACCCCGAGGCCCCAGTTGCTAATGCCCGCATTAAGCAGCCTTGTGCTGCACGGCATGGACCGAGGATGCACAGTCTGGGGGTGGGGACAAAGCCTCCTGCCTGCTTCTCCTGTGACAACAGCTCCAGCACCAGCGAGGACAGGCCCTAGATGCAGAGAGGGTGAGATGGCATGTGTGGTTTCCCAGGAGAGTTGAGGTAGGGGAACCCTCTTTCCAGAGGAGGTGACATTGGAGCTGAGCCCTGGAGAGAAGGTAGGAAAGCACTGGACAAAGAGGAAGGAAGGGAGTTTCAGGCAGAGACCTGGAGGTGGGAAGCTCCTGCCTCGGAGGGATCCATGGGTGTCTCTTCAGAAAAGGGCTGGAGCACTGACTGGGGCCAGAACGTGAGGCTCAGTGATGTCAGTCAAAGGCACTTGGCCCTATTCTGAAACACCCATGGGAGCCAGATGAACAATGGAAATGGGAGAAACAGACCCAGGGTGAGGCAACAGGGAGTGGTGGGGACTACGGCAAACTAGCCAGCTCTCAGGCCCTGTTGAAAGGATCCTAGGTCCTTTGGACTGAGCAGGCACTACCTGGCGTTGTCTTTGATGGACAAGTACATGGAAAGCGAAAGAAAGAAAGAGAGAGAGAGAAGGAAGGAAGGAAGGAAGGAAGGAAGGAAGGAAGGAAGGAAGGAAGGAAGGCAAGCAAGCAGGCAGGGAGGGAGGGAGGGAAGGAAAGAAAGAAAGGAAGGAAGCTCACGCTAGTAGCCTGGGCTGTGCAGTGGGGGAGGCGAGAGGCTCGGCTGTGCCTTCATTCAGGTGAGAGCCCTGACCGGGACACCGAGGGGGGGACAGACAGATCTCAGGTACTGATGGCAAGGATAGAAGTCACACAGTGAGCTCGGGGGCCAGAGGCAGAGAAAGCCAGCCCTGACTGCCCAGGAAGATTCCTGTAGCCCCGAGAGGACGTCCAGTAGCACCTTAATTTACCCCACCCATGCCCTTGCTAGAGGGCATAGCTGCTAGAATGTCCTTGCTAGAGGGCATGGCTGCTAGAATGCCCTTGCTAGAGGGCATAGCTGCTACAATGTCCTTGCTAGAGGGCATGGCTGCTAGAATGCCCTTGCTAGAGGGCATAGCTGCTAGAATGTCCTTGCTAGAGGGCATAGCTGCTAGAATGCCCTTGCTAGAGGGCATAGCTGCTACAATGTCCTTGCTAGAGGGCATGGCTGCTAGAATGCCCTTGCTAGAGGGCATAGCTGCTAGAATGCCCTTGCTAGAGGGCATGGCTGCTAGAATGCCCTTGCTAGAGGGCATAGCTGCTAGAATGTCCTTGCTAGAGGGCATAGCTGCTAGAATGATGTCCTTGCTAGAGGGCATAGCTGCTAGAATGTCCTTGCTAGAGGGCATAGCTGCTAGAATGCCCTTGCTAGAGGGCATAGCTGCTAGAATGTCCTTGCTAGAGGGCATAGCTGCTAGAATGTCCTTGCTAGAGGGCATGGCTGCTAGAATGTCCTTGCTAGAGGGCATGGCTGCTACAATGTCCTTGCTAGAGGGCATGGCTGCTAGAATGCCCTTGCTAGAGGGCATAGCTGCTAGAATGTCCTTGCTAGAGGGCATAGCTGCTAGAATGTCCTTGCTAGAGGGCATAGCTGCTAGAATGATGTCCTTGCTAGAGGGCATAGCTGCTAGAATGTCCTTGCTAGAGGGCATAGCTGCTAGAATGTCCTTGCTAGAGGTCATAGCTGCTAGAATGTCCTTGCTAGAGGGCATAGCTGCAGCCTGGAGGGTGCCCCCTGGGTCCACCGGATAAATGCCCCCCGGGGCCACTGTGGCGTGACAGAGGCCCTGGAGAAGTGAGCTATGCCCCTTATTGGTCACAGTACATTTATTTTTCATTAGCAGTTAAATGCAGACATGAGGGATTGTGCTGGGTTCACCAGGCGGCTGACGCAAGCAGTGCTTGGCGTGCTGATCGATAGGGAGGCTGGAGGGCCGCACACCCCCTCCCTGCCCCCACACGCCCAGCCAGGGACCCCTGCCCACCCAGCTCCCCCGCCAAGAGGCAGGCACAGGCCAGCGCATTGTCTACCTGTTAAGGGATGTGGCACAGGTGGGCCGGGAACCTGCCACTGGGGGGGCTTGGTGACACCTGCCTGCTCCCCAACACCTGCAGGGCTTGCTCTGGCATCCATCTTGGCCTGTCCTCTGCACGGCCTAGGGTCCTCCCAAATGCTGCAGCTTGCCTGGGTGCATGTCTAGAGCGGCCCTCGGGCCAGCAGCACCCATCCCACACCCCCACTCCAGGGTTCACACTCCCCAGCCTCCCAAGACCACCTCCTTCCATTCATTCTCCAGACCGTGGGAGGACCATGTGGGAGCCCAACTCAGCACTGCTCTCCCTGAGCCCACCCCTGGGTCCCACGTCTGGGTCAGGGCTGGCCGGTGGCTGCCAAGTGACCATGGCGAGCACACAGGTGACTGTACACTTGATGAGCCCAGTGTCTCAGCTGGAGGCTCTGGGGTAAGGGACCCCCTCGGGCCTCAGGTTCCCCGTCAATAAGGTGTCTTGGTCCCACCCCCCAGCGTCGCCTGCATTCCGCCACTTCCTGAGCCTACGACAGACCCCAGCAGAGGTGGTTCAGGGTGGGGTGGGTCTGGGTCTGATGACCTTCATTTTCACGACATGTGAACTGCAAGTGTGACCCCGCTTATGAATGCGGGCTTGGTGTCCATAACAGAGCTGCGGAACATGCGGGGGGCAGTTGCCAGTGGGAGGGCACACAAGGGAAAAAGCCAAGCTGGGGAGAGGCCGGAGTCTGGCAGGTGGGCAGGAGGCAGGCAGGGAGGCCAGAGAGTGAGAGGAGGGGCAGGCGCCCAGGGAGGGCCGGCGACCCAGCAGCGGACAAACTGTCCGGCTATGTCCCAAATGCCCTCCACACCCATCTGCCCCTGAGCTCACAAAGACACAGCTGTTGCACCCCTCAGCTCAGCCAGCCTCCCTCTGCCATCCCTAAGGCACCTGCCAGCTCTGTGCCTCAGTTTCCTTGTTGGCTCTCACCCCCTATGAGATTGCTGTGAGGATGACCGAGCTGAGGGGGTGCAGCCCTTTGCTGTGGAACACGCAGAACCGTGGGGGTACCAACAGCAGCCTACGCTCCCTGAGCACTGTGCTGAGTGCCTCACGCCTGTTTCATTTCATCCTCACAACAGCCTTAAGAACTGGGCACCACGCCCCATTTTGCAGGTGAGGAAACAGGTTCAGGATGGGGTGGATGGACCTGCCTGAAGTTGCAGAGGCCCCTGAACCCTCGGTCCGAGCCTGCCCTCCAGGGCGCCTGCAGGAGCTGGTGCACACACCTCCTGCCGTGAAACCAGGGTCCTGGTGAAGGGCGGACTCCCACCCTGGGGAGAGGGTCCCTGCGCAAGCAGGAGCGAAAGGGGCAGTGGGCCAGGCGTATGTGCCCCTCGGTGGGTAGGGTGGGCCCAGGCCTCCCAGTCTGAAGCCCTGGGTGGGTTTTGGATCACCCGTGGGGAGGGTGGAGGAGCCCAGAGGCCATCCATGTGAGGGGCCTGTGGACATCCCCACAGGCAGCTGTCATCTCCATCTCACAGATAGCAAGCCACTCGCTCCCCAAGGTCACCACTAAGATGAGCAGAATAGATGGTCTGGAAACCCAGGGTTTCCCTCTATGCCCAGGGGCTGCAATTGTGAATGCGCATTGGTGGGGGGATCACTGCAGCCCCAGGGAGGCTGAGGACCTGTTCAAAGGGCAGCTGGGGGTTGTGGGAGCTGAGGGTGACCCCCACCCCATCCTCTCAGGGGACCTGCTGGTTGGGCAGGGATCAGACTACTCTGGGGGTTTTACCTCTGCCAGTGCCTCCAAGCCAATTACCTGTGTAATTAGCAACAAATGACTTGTGGGATGGTTGTGGTTTTCAGTTAAAATTAGAAGGAAACCCACATATTCAGGTCTCCTTGAAGGAGGTGGCCCAGGTATCTCAGATTCCCAGACAGACTCCCGGCTCTCGCCTTGCCCGTGCCCACCCCGCATGTTATTTCTGAGCACCTACTATGTGCAGGGCCAGGGATGGGGCCAACCAGGAAGCAGGGCCCCAGAGGCGGCCACTGGCCAGGGCTGCTCCCTCCCTCGCCCCAGGCAGCTCACCTGCCTGGCCAGGGACCTTCTCACCTTGGCCAGCCTTGCCCTGGACCTCCCGGGCAGGGGCCTGCCTGGCCAGATCCCTGGACTTCTAGGAAGGCAGTCGCCAGGCCACCTCGGTGCTGGGACTCCGCCCAGGTCTCATTTCACCTCACCACGGTCTTCAGGATGGCATGGGCTGCTCCTTCCCTGCTTGTACAGAGGAGGACATGGAGGCCCGGGTGGGGGATGGTCATTGGCCTGAGATTGCCCAGCTGGGACATGGCAGAGCCTGGACTCACTCTCCTCCCATCTGCCCCAACCCACGGTGGAATCGTTTGCTGAGCCGCTGCCTCTACCCTGCCCAGTCTGGCCCCTGGCTCACCTTCCCCCTCTGCCCTGCCGCAGGTGCCCAGCAGAGTGCCACCGTGGCCAACCCAGTGCCTGGTGCCAACCCGGACCTGCTTCCCCACTTCCTGGTGGAGCCCGAGGATGTGTACATCGTCAAGAACAAGCCAGTGCTGCTTGTGTGCAAGGCCGTGCCCGCCACGCAGATCTTCTTCAAGTGCAACGGGGAGTGGGTGCGCCAGGTGGACCACGTGATCGAGCGCAGCACAGACGGGAGCAGTGGTGAGCCGCATGGGGCGCCAGGCAGGGCCAATCCGGGGGAGGCGAGTTTCGGCCCCCCCAGAGGAGCCTGCAGCTGCCCCCAGGATTCCCCACCTGGGACCCCGGAGGCCTTCCCCAGAGGCCACAACCCTCAGCAGTTTGGGGAGAAGGAGGGGGAGAGAGGGGGTCCCTGATGACCAAGGAGCTCCCAGACCTCACATTCAGTGATTGTTTTCTTTGTGCGTCGGTTCATTCGATCAGTCAGGCATTCACTCACACCTGTGAGCACCCACTCCCGTGCTGGGGACAGCCCGCCACCCTCGGAGCCCAAGTTCCCACAGAGAGGCAGACAGCGGGGTGACCTCTCAGCAGGGAGAGAGGCCCCTCAGGGGAGGTGATGTGTTAACTGAGAGAGGCATAAGAACCGGTTAGGGAGTGCAGAAGGGGGAAGTGCATCCCAGGCAGGGGACACAGCCCAGGAAAGCCTGGAGGCAGACGCCGGCATGCCGGTGGTGGGGTCAGCAGTGAGGGTGAGGGTGTGCAGGGGACCAAACTGATGCCACTGTCTTAGGGGATCTCAAGCTGCAGAGCGACATGGCCAGAGCTATATGTGATTCAGGGGCCAGAGTTGGGGCTGATGGAAGCAGCAGGTCTGGAGACACTGAGCAGAGGGGGCCAGCCAGACTCAGCTGGGGGCACAGAGAGAGAGGTTCTAGGGGCAGCGAGCAGACCCAGGAAGCACCTCTTCCATGAGACACCACATTCCCCACCCCCAGCCCTGGCCTTAAGTGGCACTGGGGACGTGGGCAGACAGCCCTTGTCTGGGTTCCGCAACTCCCCCAGAAAGGACTGGCAGAGAGAGAGGCAGGAGCAAACAACAGCTTCTCCTCCTCCCCCTCCTCCCCCTTTTCCCCCTCCCTCTCCTCCTCCCTCCCCTCCTCCCCCTCCCCTCCTCCTTCTTTACCCCCTTCTTCCCTCCTTCCCCTCCTCCCCCTCCTCCTCCTCCCCCTCCTCCTCCCCTCCCCCACTCCTCTCCTACCTTTCCTCCTCCTCCTCACTCATTAGAGCCTGTTTCAGTTTCCTCTCCCTTGGTGCTTTGTGGAGCACCCCACGCATAATGACACCTCAGGGGTAGTCCTGAGCCCCCTCCCACCAAGGCCTCAGCCATCCTGAGACACAGCACACATACCCTGTCGAGGCACAGCCCGTGCGGGACACACAGGCCATTGCCGTGAGGCTCAAGCCACAGTGCAGCTGGGACAAGCAGGTGTCACCCAGGACTCCCACTGATGCCAAGGGCAGGCCGGGGACCTTGGGCCTAGAGAGGTGGCCCAGGAAGGATTCCCAGCGGAGGAGGAACATCCAAGCTCAGGTCTCAAAACCACCTGGAAAGGGCATCTCCCAGGCCTGTAGAATGGAAGGTGCAGAGGCGCAGAACAGCCTTGGGTGGCTCGGGTATGGAGCGAGAGCGAACCCCGGGGCAGGCAGCAGTGGCCAGGAGACTGCGCTAAGGGGCCCCTGGAGGCTGAGACACCAGAGCGGGCTGCGGTCGCACTTGCACTGTAGGAAGACCGTGCTGGGCACAGGGAGACTGGAGGAGGGCAAGGCCCCTGCCAGGGAGAACGGTTTGGAAGCTCTGGCAGTGATCTGAGGTGAGCTGAAGAGCCCTGGATTTAGGCAGTGCCATTTAGCCCCAGAACCAGCTTGTCATTTTACGGTTGAGACTGAGGCCTTGGCTCTTACTCATCCAGAGCCCTGCCGGGGCTCCAACCAGCCCTTCTCGTCTGCAGCAGTCACACACCACCCCTCCGTGAGGGTCAGCAGGGACTGCCTCCCTCCCCCAAGTGTCGTCTCAGTGCCTTGGCCTGACTGCAGCTTCTCACCTGCGGTCTTCAGGTGTTCGCTGAGCACCTGCTCTGTGCCATGCCTTGGGTTAGGTACTAGGAGTTATGCTCTCAGGGCAGTGATCCAGCTCTACCTCCTACCCTCAGAGGGAGATAGAGAGGGTTGGCGGCCAATGTAGCCCAACAGAACCCTGGGCACCAACACCTCCCAGGACCAGAGCCTCTCCCGGCCCCAGCGGAGGTGCCAGAGGCCTCCCTGCCCAGCAGCAGGGCCCACCTTGTCTTGCTGGGAGGGTCTGCAGGAGAACCGCAGGCAAGTCCCTCCCCTCCCTGGGCTCAGTTTCTTCATCTGTAAAATGGGGGTGAGGAGACCTCCCCTCCATCCTGCCCCTTGCAGATTGGTCGGGGGAAGCCATGAAATCTCACGTGCCCAGTCAGGACCCAGCACGGGGCCTTTCCTTTCTCCCCACCCCACACCCGGGGCCCAGCGTCCCTTCAGCATAAGTTCTCCCACTGCTGTGGCAGGTCCCCCAGGGAAAGCACAGCCAGAGAGCTGCTCTCCTGCAGCCTGGAAGCTCCAGTCCAGCCCCCTGCTGCTCCCAGCACCCCCTTCCGGGCTCCCCCGCACACCCCTCTGTCTGAAACACCCCTGCCATTATGAGGGCTCAGATCCATGGACTGGCAGGAACCCAGACCCTTGCCTGAATGAGCAGTCGCAGGCCCGGGCCGGCACACACACCGGGAGCCCCTGGCCCACACTCCCCAGCCGGCTCCTGTGGCCCTGTTCTCTTCCTGCCGGGCAGAGAAGCAGAGCTTGGGACACGTCCCACCCGTAACCGCCAGGGTCCTCTTCTGCCCCGAGCATCCGACTCCAGCCTCCCATGGCCGGAACATCTGAACGTTCATTGATCTCATCGATTTCTCAACCCAAAGCCATCGAGTGCTTTGAGGTGAAGAAAAAGGCTTTCCTTACCCACGGCAGATACCACGGCAGTGGCGCCACGCCGCCAAAGACCAAAGACCCCAAACCAGAAACGTTCTGTGGTCAGACAGGTATGGCAGGGCTCGGAGGCCCACCCAGCTCTGCAGCCCACTCATTCATGTGTGGGGCTGGAGGTGGCCGGATGGACACCCAGGAGAGCACCTACTTCCCTCTCGTTTGCCCTCATTCCTCACCCAGAAGGCCAGGGGGCAGGGACCAAGGCCTGAAGTGCTGGAACCCAAACCTGCTAACACTAAAAAAAAGCCTGAAATTTGCAAAACCAAGCACTGGAGTCCGGTCTGGGAGTATAACTTATTTTGTGTTAAACAAACTGATTGGTTATTAGATTGTTTAGAAGCAGATTGCTGAGAAGGTGAGAACCGAAGTGCCAGCTTGGCCTCAGAGCCCCAGCTAGAAACCCTGGGCAGCCCAGGTTCACACACACACCCGCCCAGGCCCACTGGCCCGGGGTCCCTCCCCAGGGCTGGCACCTGCTCACACTTATGGGCAGGTACAGACATAGCTGTACCCAGACACTGCTCCCAGGAACCAGGCTGCCTGATGATCCACAAGAGGAGAGCGCACAGCCCCTCACATCAAAGATGGGGTAGGGCCGGGTCTGCAGCCCCCGCCTCAGGCACTGCCCTCCAGGAGCTTGTGGGGCTGAAGGGCACCCCTCACCAAGGCACTGCGTGGAGCTGGCACATTGAGGACACACTTGGCCCTCACTCATGCAAGTGAGAGGGAGGAGAGGAGGTGGCAGGACAGAAGGGGAGGGAAGGCAAAGGGAGAAGAAAAGGGAGCGCTTAAAGGTAGTGCTGTTCTCCCAAGCTGAGCCGCCTGGGCCATGGGTGAGGCTCCTGAAGGAGGGCCGGGCTCCCCACAGCACCACGGGGGATGGAGGAACCATTAACAGACTTGTCCACCCAAGGGAGAAAAAGTACCCAGTTCAGAATGTTCTGGAGGTCTCCCACCCCTAACCCCCAAGGCAGAGAGGATGAAGGGAGTGGAGGGCCCCTCCCCAGATCTCCTTATCAGATGCCCTAAGTCACATTGAAAGATAGCTGGTGCCCAAGGCCCCTCTCCTATACAAGGACCCTGTGAGCCACCCCCTCGTTCTCAGCCTGCCCACCCCACCCCCTGAGAGTGTCCACACTGGGTGTCTTAGAGAACGGGGCAGGTGGTGCCCAGAACGGAGGGAAGCGGCCCAGCTACCATGATCTCACCAGAGGTGACAGCTCTGCCATCTCCTATGATAGCTGGCCGGCGACAGGGACAAAGTGATAGAAAAATCTGGACACCCAGTGTGAGAGCCCAGAGGCTTGTGAGGAGGGGTCTGGGAAGCAGTCGGAGAAAGTCATGTTAGAGAAATTAAGAGGGAAACAGCCTCCCAGCCTGCCGGCTCAGCTGGGCGGCCGCTCTTCCCGCAATGCAGCCCTAATTGAATTTCGCTGTTAACAATGGAAACACATTGGCTGCCGGCCTCTCTCTCCCTTTCTGATAAGCCAATGACCCGAGGGAAATTGGGGTCAGGAGGAGGAGAAATTGGAAGCAAACAGTCTTTTCTCACTGCTGGGGATGCTGGTTTTGGCTACAGACGGGGCAGGAGGAGGGTTGCTGCCCCCGCTCCTGAGTTGTCAGAGGGTCCTCAGCCTGCCTCAGGCCAGATATGGCAGAAGGTGGGGGGCTGAGTCCAGCCTGGAGCGGAGTCCCCCCAGCTCACCCTAGTTAGGCAGAGCGGGTCCTAGACCCCCAGCTCCCCCTCTGCTGGCTGCTCTCTCACCCTCTTCCAAAGTTTCTCCCTAGTGCATAGGCGCCCCAGCTCACCCTTCGGATGCAGACAGTCCCGGGTCCCCATGGCAAGTCACTTCCCTCTGCATTTCTGTCCAAGGGAGTGGATTAAGACGACATCCCCATCCCGGCACGTGGGAAACCCTAAGTCCCAGGGCGCTAGCATCATACTACATAATCACTGCAATTATATTGTTAATGACTGTTATTATATTATCACGTCAGGATCTATCTGCTAGCCCCCGAGGGAGGGGGCCAGATCCTTCCTCACCTCTTTTACCCACAGAGGTGCAGAGCTCAGCCTGTCTGCCCCACCCCTTCTGCCTGGAGTCTTTGGAGGTCAGACCCTCTGGCCCAAAGCTCTACGGCAGCCCCTTTATGGACATTTCTGTAAGTGACTCCGGGGAGTCAGGCCTCAGGTAACAAAGTATAATGAATGGAAGGTCTACCCTGCCTGCCCGGGGCCTTCAGGAGATAGAAATCAAGCGGCCCTTGGGCCCCCTGGAGTTTCCTCCAGGCTGGAGGTTGCCTTAAAACTTAAAATATAATAATAATAAAATTTAAAAAAAAAAAAACAAAGTCCACTCCCTTGCCAGTCAGCGAGAGTGGCTGAGGGTGGCGCAGGAACCCACACACAGAAGCTCAGGGTGGCCCTGGGGCTCTGACTACCTGCCCCTCCCGCCCCCAGGGCTGCCCACCATGGAGGTCCGCATTAATGTCTCAAGGCAGCAGGTCGAGAAGGTGTTCGGGCTGGAGGAATACTGGTGCCAGTGCGTGGCATGGAGCTCCTCGGGCACCACCAAGAGTCAGAAGGCCTACATCCGCATAGCCTGTGAGTCTAGGGCTGGGCCCTGGGGGAGGGCGCACGGCGGGAGGGTGTCACCAGGAGAGGGGACAGTAGGCTTCCTGGAAGAGGCGGTCCGGTCAGAAAACCTCACAGCCCTGCCTGGATGAGTGGATAAAGTGCCTGTGGACACGGCCCAGCCACCCCATGGCCCCCTGGCCACCTGGCACTTCCTCTGCCATGTGCCACGGCCCCTGCAGGACAAGGGACACAGCCAGCCAGGCTGAGCCTGTGCGAGGCCCTCAGACAGGAGGACACTCTCATTCCTCTTCTAGATTTGCGCAAGAACTTCGAGCAGGAGCCGCTGGCCAAGGAGGTGTCCCTGGAGCAGGGCATCGTGCTGCCCTGCCGTCCACCGGAGGGCATCCCTCCAGCCGAGGTGAGGGCTCCTCTAGTGCCCACGTCTGGACCTGGGCTCCTGCCTGGTCACCCTGGCAGGGGCCACTCTGGGCAGGGCCAGCATGGGCTGGCAGTACATGGCAGGGCTCCCTCCCCTAGGTGGAGTGGCTCCGGAACGAGGACCTGGTGGACCCGTCCCTGGACCCCAATGTATACATCACGCGGGAGCACAGCCTGGTGGTGCGACAGGCCCGCCTTGCTGACACGGCCAACTACACCTGCGTGGCCAAGAACATCGTGGCACGTCGCCGCAGCGCCTCCGCTGCTGTCATCGTCTACGGTGGGCCCCGGGACTCCCTGGTCACAGGGAGAGGCACTGCGGTGCCCCTGGGCAGTGACATGTGGCTGGTGGGGTGAAGAGAGGCCATGAGGCCAAAGCCAGGTGGACCAGATCGTGCCTGACTAGGCAGGATAAGCAAAGGGCTCTCTGTGACTGCTGGGGGCCCAGGGGCATGTCTGGGCAAAGGAGTGGGACAGATTGGAGGTCCTTTGTGGGCAGCGGGCATTGTGCAGAAGGAGATGAGGGACAGGATGGGAATCTAGGAAAGGTGACAGGCTGTCCCCACTCCTGAGTCTCCAAGGGGGGAATCAGAAGCCACACAGTCCAGGCACCCCCAGGAGCCAGCAGAGGGAGGGTGCGGGAGTCACCCCAGGAGAGGCTGGGGTCTGGGCTGCAGGAGTGTGTGAGCCGCGGTTCAGCCTGGCTACCCCGAGTGCCCCCTGGGAGAAGGGAAGACTGTGGCGTGCGTGCTGCAGGGCCCGGGGGCCAGCAGGCACGAGCATGGCCTCCCCCAGGCCTTCTCTCCCAGCTCAGCCACAGCCCACCCGTGTCCAGCTCACAGCCCCTCTGCCCTCACGCCCCGTCCCCTGGGCCAGTGTATCTGAGGACGCCCCCGCTCCCTGACCCCAGTCCTTCTCTGTCCGGCCAGTGAACGGTGGGTGGTCGACGTGGACCGAGTGGTCCGTCTGCAGCGCCAGCTGTGGGCGCGGCTGGCAGAAACGGAGCCGGAGCTGCACCAACCCGGCGCCTCTCAACGGGGGCGCTTTCTGTGAGGGGCAGAATGTCCAGAAAACAGCCTGCGCCACCCTGTGCCCAGGTACCAGCGGCCACCGCCTCCCGCATCGTTCCTCACCACGCCATCTCCGTGCCCTGGCTCCATCGCGCCCACCAGCCTGCCCCCCCATGGCTCCATCCCACCCACCCGCCACGCAGGGCCAGGCTCAGTCTGAGGCGGGGATCGGGGTGCGGTGTATGGTTGGAGTCAGGGCTCGATCTGTGTCCAATGTCAGGGCTCAACATAGGGTGTAAGTCACAGGGTGTGAGGTACAGTTTGACAGGGTCTAGGGCTCAGCCCAGGGCTGCAGAGTCCACTTGTCCCTGGGTTCAGAAGGGTCAACGTGTGACGAGAGAGCCCTCGCTGCCCCAGGGCCAGGACAGCCTCCCTGGTGTGGAGAGAGCCAAGCAGCCCCTGGCGTCATCCGCGCCTCCCTGTCATTAGCATGCGTCATCAAGGCCAGCTGGACACTAGAGGGCGTGCATCGTGGGCCTGGCCCTGGCTTTGCACCCAAATCCAGGCTGCCTTGCACTGCCTGGTCTGGTTGCCCAGAGGGGCCACACTGGCAGACTGCCGGGGTGGGCTCCCAGGCTGACCGCACCGTCTCCTCTCTGCTTGTCTCTCATCTAGTGGACGGCAGCTGGAGCCCGTGGAGCAAGTGGTCGGCCTGTGGGCTGGACTGCACCCACTGGCGGAGCCGTGAGTGCTCTGACCCAGCACCCCGCAACGGAGGGGAGGAGTGCCAGGGCACTGACCTGGACACCCGCAACTGTACCAGTGACCTCTGTGTACACAGTGAGTCCTCTCTGCCCTGAGGTCCTCTTCTGTTTGCCTGGATTGGCCTTGCCCAGCCCTGGGGAGGTGGGGGCTGAGGGAGCTATTCTCCTGCCAAAGGCTGTAGCCTCTCCAGGCTCAGGACCCACTGAGATCCCCCTCATCCTTAGCATACCTGCACATGGGCCCAGGCGCGCCCCACCACCTCCCATGCCTCCTGAGACGGGCACAGATTTGAACCTTGATTCATGCACACCCATTGCCCACACTTACCCAACACCACAGCTTCACATCTGCCCACACTCACCAACACCACAGCTTCACATCTGCCCACGCTCACCCCACACCACAGCTTCCCATCTGCCCACGCTCACCCCACACCACAGCTTCCCATCTGCCCACGCTCACCCCACACCACAGCTTCCCATCTGCCCACACTCGCCCAACACCACAGCTTCCCATCTGCCCACGCTCGCCCCACACCACAGCTTCCCATCTGCCCACACTCGCCCCACACCACAGCTTCCCATCTGCCCACACTCGCCCCACACCACAGCTTCCCATCTGCCCACACTCGCCCCACACCACAGCTTCCCATCTGCCCACACTCGCCCCACACCACAGCTTCCCATCTGCCCACGCTCACCAACACCACAGCTTCCCATCTGCCCACACTCGCCCCAACACCACAGCTTCCCATCTGCCCACGCTCACCAACACCACAGCTTCACATCTGCCCACACTCACCAACACCACAGCTTCCCATCTGCCCACACCTGCCCCAACACCACAGCTTCCCATCTGCCCACACTCGCCCCACACCACAGCTTCCCATCTGCCCACACTCGCCCCACACCACAGCTTCCCATCTGCCCACACTCGCCCCACACCACAGCTTCCCATCTGCCCACACTCGCCCCACACCACAGCTTCCCATCTGCCCACGCTCACCAACACCACAGCTTCCCATCTGCCCACACTCGCCCCAACACCACAGCTTCCCATCTGCCCACGCTCACCAACACCACAGCTTCACATCTGCCCACACTCACCAACACCACAGCTTCCCATCTGCCCACACCTGCCCCAACACCACAGCTTCCCATCTGCCCACACTCGCCCCACACCACAGCTTCCCATCTGCCCACACTCGCCCCACACCACAGCTTCCCATCTGCCCACACTCACCAACACCACAGCTTCACATCTGCCCACACCTGCCCCAACACCACAGCTTCCCATCTGCCCACACTCGCCCAACACCACAGCTTCACATCTGCCCACACTCACCAACACCACAGCTTCCCATCTGCCCACACTCGCCCCAACACCACAGCTTCCCATCTGCCCACACTCGCCCAACACCACAGCTTCCCATCTGCCCACACTCGCCCCAACACCACAGCTTCCCATCTGCCCACACTCGCCCCAACACCACAGCTTCCCATCTGCCCACACTCGCCCCAGCACCACAGCTTCCCATCTGTCCACACTCACCAACACCACAGCTTCCCATCTGCCCACACTCACCAACACCACAGCTTCACATCTGCCCACACTCACCCCACACCACAGCTTCCCATCTGCCCACACTCACCCCACACCACAGCCTCACATCTGCCCACACTCGCCCCACACCACAGCTTCCCATCTGCCCACACTCGCCCCACACCACAGCTTCCCATCTGCCCACACTCACCAACACCACAGCTTCACATCTGCCCACACCTGCCCCAACACCACAGCTTCCCATCTGCCCACACTCGCCCAACACCACAGCTTCACATCTGCCCACACTCACCAACACCACAGCTTCCCATCTGTCCACGCTCACCAACACCACAGCTTCACATCTGCCCACACTCACCAACACCACAGCTTCCCATCTGCCCACACTCGCCCCAACACCACAGCTTCCCATCTGCCCACACTCGCCCAACACCACAGCTTCCCATCTGCCCACACTCGCCCAACACCACAGCTTCCCATCTGCCCACACTCGCCCCAACACCACAGCTTCCCATCTGCCCACACTCGCCCAACACCACAGCTTCCCATCTGCCCACACTCGCCCCAACACCACAGCTTCCCATCTGTCCACGCTCACCAACACCACAGCTTCCCATCTGCCCACACTCACCAACACCACAGCTTCACATCTGCCCACACTCACCCCACACCACAGCTTCCCATCTGCCCACACTCACCCCACACCACAGCTTCACATCTGCCCACACTCACCAACACCACAGCTTCCCATCTGCCCACACCTGCCCCAACACCACAGCTTCCCATCTGCCCACACTCGCCCCAACACCACAGCTTCCCATCTGCCCACACTCACCAACACCACAGCTTCCCATCTGCCCACACCTGCCCCAACACCACAGCTTCCCATCTGCCCACACTCACCCAACAC
Organism: Homo sapiens; assembly: GCF_000001405.40. Taxonomy (NCBI): domain Eukaryota; kingdom Metazoa; phylum Chordata; class Mammalia; order Primates; family Hominidae; genus Homo; species Homo sapiens. Next base: position 176,872,933 of record NC_000005.10, read on the forward strand.
CACAGCTTCCCATCTGCCCACACTCACCCAACACCACAGCTTCCCATCTGCCCACACCTGCCCCAACACCACAGTTTCCCATCTGCCCACACTCACCCAACACCACAGCTTCCCATCTGCCCACACTCACCAACACCACAGCTTCACATCTGCCCACACTCACCCCACACCACAGCTTCCCATCTGCCCACACTCACCCAACACCACAGCTTCCCATCTGCCCACACTCACCAACACCACAGCTTCCCATCTGCCCACACTCGCCCAACACCACAGCTTCCCATCTGCCTGGTCCCCCAAGTGCACATACAGGTCCTGTGGGAATGCCGGGCTTGTGAGGGCTGTTAATTACAAGGCCATAACTAACAATTAAAGATCTCTGTTGGATTTTTTTTTTTCCTCTAGAACATACCCTCCCCCATTCTTTCAATTAAAAACCTAATTATCTGTGTCAATTCCTTTCTGATGGACATTTCTTCCATTTATGCAAAACCCTTCTAAAATCAATATAGCTTCCTCCAAGCAGTCAATCACCCCCTCCCCAGACCTGCCCCAGGCCTTGGGGAGGCAGACAGAGAGAAGGGCCCCCAAACCCCTGCTCCTGGTCTAGGCACTGACCTGGAACCACACAGGAGGCAGACCCTGTGCTCTGGGGATCCCAGGAGTTCACCCCCAGCCCAAGCTGCCCTTGTCCCAGAAGAGCAGGCAGCAGGTTCAACCTAGCAGCCAGGCACCAGGTTATCCGCTCTGGGGAAGTAGCTCTTCCCCTCCTGCATCCTCCAGGCAGCAGACTCAGCTGGGATCTCAAGCCCACGAGGAATGTGATTTGCTCAGAGTCACACAGCACAGTAATGGCAAATACAGGGCTGGGATGCACACGCACGGACTCCATGCTCCCTGCCACAAGCGTCTGCTCCCTAGCTAGTGCAGATGCCCCGGGGTGCAGACCTCATCCTCCTGGGGTGCAGACCACTGACCTCTCCTTCCCAGACTCCTACACCCCTGCCCCCACCAAGGCCATGCTGTCTCCCGCAGCTGCTTCTGGCCCTGAGGACGTGGCCCTCTATGTGGGCCTCATCGCCGTGGCCGTCTGCCTGGTCCTGCTGCTGCTTGTCCTCATCCTCGTTTATTGCCGGAAGAAGGAGGGGCTGGACTCAGATGTGGCTGACTCGTCCATTCTCACCTCAGGCTTCCAGCCCGTCAGCATCAAGCCCAGCAAAGCAGGTGAGGGGCCCCGTGCCCCCAGCACTCCTGCCCCAGCTCCCACGCCAAGGGCTGCTGGGGCAGGGATGCCCTAGGTGCCATTGCCTGAGTCTGTCTTTATCCTGCAGACAACCCCCATCTGCTCACCATCCAGCCGGACCTCAGCACCACCACCACCACCTACCAGGGCAGTCTCTGTCCCCGGCAGGATGGGCCCAGCCCCAAGTTCCAGCTCACCAATGGGCACCTGCTCAGCCCCCTGGGTGGCGGCCGCCACACACTGCACCACAGCTCTCCCACCTCTGAGGCCGAGGAGTTCGTCTCCCGCCTCTCCACCCAGAACTACTTCCGCTCCCTGCCCCGAGGCACCAGCAACATGACCTATGGGACCTTCAACTTCCTCGGGGGCCGGCTGATGATCCCTAATACAGGTAGGAAGGACCCCAGGGGGCTCTGAGAGCTCCACTTCCCTCCTGGAGGAGGACGGGACAGCCGGACGTTCCTCTCGTGCCCCTCGGTGTCCCGTGACAGATCAGCAAGGAAAGGGGGTGGAGTTTTGGGGAGAACCCAGTCTTGGCTGGCACCGAGGCCGTGGCCAGAGCTGTCTTCCTCTTGTTGCCTGTGGGCACAAGGTAATTGTCCATTCATTTACACAGCCAAGCAGCCTACTTGTTCCAGTCTCCATGTGGGGCCCTGGGCCCAGAGGTAGGGCAAGCCCCGGCCCCAAGGAGCTTGCAACTGAGCAGGGAGACAACCAAGGGCAAACAGATGAGCACGGGCCTGGGCAGAGGCCATCCTGGAGTCCCCACTGCATCCTGGCTTCCACCCACCCCAGCACCGAAACCCTCTGAAGAACTCTTTCCATGGCTGCCTTGCAAGAAGTGGCTGCAGCCTCTGGCATGGCTGGCCACTCCCACCCGAAATTCCCAAGTCCCTCAGCTTAGATGACCCCATGCGCTCCTGGTTTGCTTGCCCCTCTCCAGCTGCCTGTTCCATAAATGTAGGTGTGCCTCCGAGCTCCCTCCCAGTGCCCTTCTCCCCGAGCGGCCTCGCCCACTCCATGGCTTTAATCGCCGTGTCTGTGCAGATAACTCCCACTCCCCCATCCTTAGCCTGCAGTTCTCCCGGGCGACAGAACTGTACACCCAGCTGCCTCCTGGCCAGCTCCATCTGGATGTCTCACATCACCTCAGACTCCTGGTGCCTAAAACAGAACCGTCTCCCACCCTCCCCCAGAGCCTCCCCATTCCTGGCTTCCCCCAGTTCACGGATCGTCTAGTTGCTCAAGCCGGAAACTTGGGGTCACCTTGACCTGCTGCTCGTCCTCTCTTGCCCCCCGCCAGCTTCAGTCCCACGCCAGTCCCTCCTCAATAGCTCCTGCCACCTCCTGCTCTTGTCCTCCCTTGCTGCCTCTCCTGACACGGGCCACCAAACCCCTTACCTGGTTCCTTGCTGTAAAACTTCACCAAATGAAGCCAGAGTTGATCATGACCCTCTCGTGCTCGAATCCCTTCTGGGCTCCCCTCTGCCCCCTGCAAAGCCCACATGATACCACAGAGAAGACCTGTCCCCTGCAGGCCAGCTGCTTCAGCCTCTTCCCTCACACACATCGTCCCGCACACGGCAGCCACCATGGACTCAACATCCCCGACACACGGTGCTGCCCTCTGCATGCACCGACCCCCTGCCCCTCCCACCAGCTCAGCTGGGACTTCTCTTTTGGGTCCCCGCCTGACAGCTCTTGCCGTCTGTGCCTCACGTCCACACGGATGATAACGAACCCCTCATGGGGCTGTTGGGATGACGAGGTGAGACGGCATCTGTCAGCTCTTACAGAGACGCAGGCGAACAGTGGGGCCCGGCAGCCCTTGCTCTTCGCTCCCCAGGCCGGGGGGTGGCTGCCACTTCCCCCGCATCCTGTGCTGTGGTTGACTTGTCCTTCTCCCCTGCTGGGCTAAGAACTTCATGAGAGTGGGGTCTGTGGTTTTCCTTCGCCGTCCTGAGTACCCAGCATTAGGAGTTGATGAATGAGGATGTAAGTGCGTGTACCTTCCCCATGGAGAGCCTTCCTGCGAGGATGTCTGGCATTGTCACCAACACTACAGCTGGGACCGCGGGGCAGTGCAGGCCAGTGAAGGGAGCAGTGGCTGTGACTCTGCCCTCTCCGGTGAAACGGTGATACCAGCCCAGCCCTGCTCTGCGCTGCCCACGAGGGAGTGTGCATTTGCTTTTGGACTTGGTGGGGTAAAGTCATGGAATTCCTCTCCCTCCCCATGTCCTGAGCTGGGAGCCCCTCCTCATGTAAGGGCTCCCTGTCTGGGGGAGTCCCTGCTCACCACCTCTAGAGGGACTCCCTGGCCCCCGTCTTTGCCGGATCCTGTCCCACCATCTCCCTGTTGAACCACTCCCCTCTCCACTCACACGCTGATCCTGCTCCTCCAAGACGTTGGAGCAGAGGCAAGCCAGCCGACGGGAGGGCATCCAGCCCAGGAGATAGGTTATTCAAGACCCACCCCACCTGCAGGGACCATGGCATGGCAGAGAGTAGAAGGAGCAAGGGAGAGGGGAGCTGGAGCAGGACGGGAGGGCAGTGGGGGCTCAGGCAGTGGTTCCAGAACCACCAACTTTGTAGCACTGGCTGGGCTAGAGAGGCAGTGGGGGCCAGAGGCAAAGGCCCTTCAATGCCAGGCCAGGGAGCTGGACTTCATCCGGGGGCAGGGAAGGTTTTAAGCAAGGGATACCCTGGTCCCCTCCAGTGCCTTTCAGGGGACAAGGGAGGTCGGTACCGCATACCTTCTGTCCCCAAGTTTTCTGTGCCTGAGCTAGCCAGGCATGCTTTCCCCACCTGGGTTCCCTCAGTTGCTCATGGGGTGCCCCTGACTCAGCTTCATGCCTGTGGGGGTGGTTGGTCAGCACGGCAGTCTTTGAGGCCCCTCTGTCCCCAGGCCGGGCTGGCACCAGTCAGTCCTCACAGGAAGGCTCCTGGAGGGGCTGTGTGGTGGGGTGTTGGGTGCTTTGGCAGTGGGTAAGCCCTGGCCCTCTTCCTGCCGTTCCAGGAATCAGCCTCCTCATCCCCCCAGATGCCATACCCCGAGGGAAGATCTATGAGATCTACCTCACGCTGCACAAGCCGGAAGACGTGAGGTGTGGCCGCGGGCCCTGTTGCCGGGGGTGGGAGGGACCTGCCTGCTGCCTTCGGTCCCCAGGAAGCCCCCTGCCCACCCACTGTTGTGCCTGGCCCGAGGCGGCGGGGGAAAGAGCTATGCCTAAGCCCCACGTGGTCCTGCAGCCCAAGCCCCTGGCCCCTGGGATGCTGCTGCCCTGCCCTTGGCCTAGCCCTCAGGACCCAGGATGGGCCACTGACACCTTTCCCTCCCCACCCATATTTCCCCACTTGAGGTTGCCCCTAGCTGGCTGTCAGACCCTGCTGAGTCCCATCGTTAGCTGTGGACCCCCTGGCGTCCTGCTCACCCGGCCAGTCATCCTGGCTATGGACCACTGTGGGGAGCCCAGCCCTGACAGCTGGAGCCTGCGCCTCAAAAAGCAGTCGTGCGAGGGCAGCTGGGAGGTGAGCAGGGAACTGACCCGGGCTCCAGAAGGGAACGTGGGCTAACTGCACGCTCCACCCGGCCTTCCACCGCTGGGTGGTCCTGAGCCGCACCCCCACCCCTCCCCAGTCTCCGGCCACTTCTTGAAGCCACAGCTGGCCCTAGGGCTCTGAGGCTGGGCCGAATTGACCCACTGACCCCTGCCCACAGGATGTGCTGCACCTGGGCGAGGAGGCGCCCTCCCACCTCTACTACTGCCAGCTGGAGGCCAGTGCCTGCTACGTCTTCACCGAGCAGCTGGGCCGCTTTGCCCTGGTGGGAGAGGCCCTCAGCGTGGCTGCCGCCAAGCGCCTCAAGCTGCTTCTGTTTGCGCCGGTGGCCTGCACCTCCCTCGAGTACAACATCCGGGTCTACTGCCTGCATGACACCCACGATGCACTCAAGGTATCTCCCGCCCCTCACCCCCCGCCGCTGGGAGGCCGAGCTATGCCTGGCCCTGTGGACTGCCTGCCTTGGGCGCAGTGGGGAGGGGCCTGGGCTGACCACCTGGGGCACTGCAGGAGGTGGTGCAGCTGGAGAAGCAGCTGGGGGGACAGCTGATCCAGGAGCCACGGGTCCTGCACTTCAAGGACAGTTACCACAACCTGCGCCTATCCATCCACGATGTGCCCAGCTCCCTGTGGAAGAGTAAGCTCCTTGTCAGCTACCAGGTGAGGGCCAGGGCCGTGGCCAGCGCACAAGAGGCCTGGAGCTTGGGCTCACCTGACACCTCCTCTCTGCATCCCCATCAGGAGATCCCCTTTTATCACATCTGGAATGGCACGCAGCGGTACTTGCACTGCACCTTCACCCTGGAGCGTGTCAGCCCCAGCACTAGTGACCTGGCCTGCAAGCTGTGGGTGTGGCAGGTGGAGGGCGACGGGCAGAGCTTCAGCATCAACTTCAACATCACCAAGGTGGACGGGAGGGGCTGCCGCACCGCCGTGACGTGCTCCCACTACCAACTCCCCACCAGCCCCCAAAACGCTCCTGCCCTGCCTGCCCTGCCACCCACTCTCCCTCCCGCCTGTCCCCAGGCCCACCTCCTCCTAGAAACCCCTTGGCAGCTTCCTCCCAGACTCAGAGACAGGGAGGCACAGGTGCAAATGGGACTTGGGGAGGGGAGTGCAGGGGACATGGGAGCAGCAGGAGGGGAGACCCTGGAGGGCTTCCCTGAGGAGGGGCTTTGTACTGGGCCCCAAAGAATGAGCCAGTTTGGCTGCGGCATTAAGGGGAAGAGCATTTCTGGCGGTGAGAGCTGGGCAGGGGGGACTCAGGCCGTGAAGAGAGCTGTGTGTGTTGAGTGTCAGCAGAGGCTGGGCAGAGTGACTTGGAGGGGAGAAGGGCGGAGAGGGAGGGAGGCCACAGAGGGCTCCTCTGCTCTCTGGCTATGTGGCTTTGGGCAGGTCGCTGCACCTCCGAGCCCCAGTAAGAAGGGCCTTGGCACATGGGAGGTGCCCAGGAAGTACCAGTGCTCATGCCGCCCCCATGCTCTGGGGGAGTCTGGGAGCTCCCCCAGCAGGAGGTGGCGGTGGACCCGGGCCTGGGGAAAGTTCTAACAGGCACCTCTTTCCCTCCCACCTCCAGGACACAAGGTTTGCTGAGCTGCTGGCTCTGGAGAGTGAAGCGGGGGTCCCAGCCCTGGTGGGCCCCAGTGCCTTCAAGATCCCCTTCCTCATTCGGCAGAAGATAATTTCCAGCCTGGACCCACCCTGTAGGCGGGGTGCCGACTGGCGGACTCTGGCCCAGAAACTCCACCTGGACAGGTGGGCGGGAGAGGGGCAGAGAGGGCCTGCGCAGGCCACCGACAGTCCTGCCCGGCGGCGGGGTGGGTGAGGTGGACAGGAGGCCCTGTGGGGCCTGTGCCGCATCTACTAGTGGCCGGGGCAGTCATTGTGTTTGGCTTCGGGGAGGCCCTGCCCTGGGGTGGGCCAGGGGGGGCAGGAGGTGTCGGCTGGGGCCAGGCCAGGCTGCTGACGGCCCCCCTCCCCTCCACAGCCATCTCAGCTTCTTTGCCTCCAAGCCCAGCCCCACAGCCATGATCCTCAACCTGTGGGAGGCGCGGCACTTCCCCAACGGCAACCTCAGCCAGCTGGCTGCAGCAGTGGCTGGACTGGGCCAGCCAGACGCTGGCCTCTTCACAGTGTCGGAGGCTGAGTGCTGAGGCCGGCCAGGCCCGACACCTACACTCTCACCAGCTTTGGCACCCACCAAGGACAGGCAGAAGCCGGACAGGGGCCCTTCCCCACACCGGGGAGAGCTGCTCGGACAGGCCCCCTCCCGGCCGAAGCTGTCCCTTAATGCTGGTCCTTCAGACCCTGCCCGAACTCCCACCTCTCCATGGCCTGCCTAGCCAGGCTGGCACTGCCACTCACACTCGGCCCCAGGGCCCAGGAGGGACAGTGCCTGGAGCCTGGGCCAGGCCCAGCCCATCTGTGTGTGTGTATGTGCGTGTGATGCTACCTCTCCTCCCGTCCCTCTCCAGGGGCCCCGCATACACACGGCCATGCACGCACACACTGGGCCTGGGCCAGGGCCCCAGAGCTCCTGCCTGAGCTGGACCTTATGCAAACATTTCTGTGCCTGCTGGGTAGGGGCACGTCTGAGGGGCCCTGCTCCAAGCCTGCAGGACCGAGGGCCACAGCCGGACAGGGGGTAGCCCCTGGATTCAGGCACACGACCACCACACGAGCACGTGCCACGCATGCCTCGTGTGCTCATCTCACACACACCCCCCTCCCGGGTCACGCAGACACCCCCCAACCACACACATCTCATGCTGTACACCTGAGGCTGCTCACGTCTCACGCCCAGTGTTGGTGCACATTTGCCTCTCACATGCTGCCCTCTCCACCCACCCAGGGACACCCCACGGCTCCTCCCTGCCCCTGCCCCTCCCCCAGCCTTGAGGTGCCCTGCCCGGCGGGGCCTGTGAATATGCAATGGGAGTCCCAGGCTGTACAGTGGTGAGTGTGTGTGTGGCGTGGCGTGCCCGTCCCCAGGGCTGGCTGGTGCCCCACGCGGGGCCTGTCATGTGAAGCTCGTGTCCTGACTTTGTCTTAAGTGCATTCACGCACTTACTCTTGGCCTTATGTACACAGCCTTGCCCGGCCGCCGGGGCACATAGGGGTTTTATCGGGCGTGAATGTAAATAAATTATATATATATATTGCTAACCTGAGTGCTACTTCTCTCAGGGAAAGCCAGGGAGCAAGGCCAAATGGCCGCAGAGGGGTCACACATGGGATGTCCCAGGAGTCCTGGGTGGCTGGGCCTGGCTGGGAAACAGGCAGACCCCGACCCGGCTCCAGCAAGGCTGCGGCGGAGACCTCCTCAGCCTGGAGGTTTCCTCAGACACGAGTCAACTGCGCAAGGCGGCAGGCAACAGCGGTGACCAGGGCCGCACCTTTGCCGGACCCATCCTCTGACTGCAGGAACGTGACCACACAGCGAGGGGCCAGCTCCCGCACTGTGGCCGCCACCAGGCTGGAGAAGCTGTGAGAGGAGGGCTGAGGTGAGCCCAGGCCACCAGCCCCACCTGGCCACACCTCCCTCCCCAGCCCGCACACCCAGACTCACCGCGGGTGCAGCTTGTAGAGCGTTCCATCCACCCCCACAGACACTGCCAGCTCTTCCAGGCCCCGGTTCTCCCGGATCTTCTCCACCACGGCAGCTACACCCGCCCCACAGAGCTGGGCAGCCCTCTGGGACACAGCCTGGCACACCTCTAGCACCATCAGGGCGTCATCTGAGGTCAGGGGTAGCCCCAGATCCTCTAGGATGGCTCGGACCTGCCGCAGGGCCAGGCTGTCACTGGGGGCCAGGAAGGAAGAGAGCACAGGGAGGTGGGTCGTGACTTCTCCCACTTCATCCTCCAGAGCAGACCTCGTCACCACCCATGGCCAGCAATCCCCCACAGTGGACAGAAAGACCCCCTGAAGTGGGGGAGGCAATGTAGGCCTCAGGCACCTTTCGATCTCAGAGAGGAACTTGGTCTTGAAGATGTCCCTGGTCTGAAGGCGCTGGATCTGCTGGCCCCGGAAGAGAACGCCAAGGCTGGTTAAATGTAAAAGGATGTGGCGGACGATCTCCCCCAGGTACATGCCGCTGATCATCTTTTCAAACCTGCATGAACATGTGTGCACTCGGCAGAAGGCCCCACCAGCCACCATCCCCAGCACCGGTCACAGCCAGCCACCACTGCCTGGGCCCAGCCCACACCTCTGCTTGCCGGGGTTGATGGACGCCTGGTCCACACTTGCATCAAAGCGGGTGCTGAGCATGGCCAGAGAGCCATCGTCCCCAAAGGCGCCCCACTCCATGTTGATGCACATGCGGCCTGAGTCCCCAGGCACGCCCGCCACATTCCGGAGCTCCTCCATGTAGCAGGCATTGGTGCCGGTTCCTGCAGAGAGGCCAGACAACGTGGAAGCTACTTACTGATGTAGACAAGGACCCTCTGAGCACTTCCCATACCGAGATGGCAACGATTCGGGCTCACTCTCTCTACCTCTCATGCTCACAGCCTGTCCCTGGTCCTGGTCCTTCTTCCTTCCCGACATCCCTCGTGCAGACCCTGCCAGCTCCAAGCCCTGGGGACCTTCACTGCCTTTCCCACCAACATCACCATCAGTGCATCCACCATGCCACCCCCAAGTGCTCCTACAATGCCCAGCTGTCCTGTCATTCCCCTGGGAGACATGTGACATCCCCCGCCCTCGCCCCTAGCTCTCTGCGGTTGAGAGGCCGAAGCTCCCTGGACCGGCCTGCCAGGCCCTTAATCCAACTAAGAGGTGCTGGGCCAAGAGCAGGGGACACAGAGAAATCAGAGACGAGGAGCCCCACAGTCTGGCCAGAGGTCAGGCAATGAATAGCCAGCTCTGACAGAGCCTCTGTGCCCCCGTGGAAGCACCAAGGAGAGCATCGTGGGAGCCCAGACCACGGGGCGAGTCTCTGCCAACAGGATCAGGAAAGCAACAGAGAGGAAGTGACTGAATCCAAGAAGCACAGAAAGAAAAAGGCATTCCAGGCAGAGGACGCACCCTGGATGAGGGCGTCTCCTTCCTTTCTCTGACACAGCTTCAGCTCCAGGAAGGTGGGCTCCTTGCTGGCCCCACCTGGAGCTCCTCTGTCCAGCTGTTTATGCACACAGCAACCTGGGCATGCCTCTCCCAAGTGCCTAACCGTGCCAGGTGCTGGGTTCAAAAACCTCCCCCTCAAGAGAGGCTGCCACATGCCTCGTGTTGAGAGACCAATGCCCCAGGAGCTGTGGGATCCCTCCTCCCCAACAGAGCCAAATCCTTTCTTTCAGGGCTTTCAAGTTCCACTCATCCTGGGACCCACTCCTTCCTGATCTTGGCCTCGCTGCTGCCCACGTGTAGAATCAAGTCACTCTCTGACCGCTACGTGTTGTTCTGGGCTTAACCCTTGCTGAGTGGTCGGTTCTGAGAAGGCAGAAATTGCCTCTTGTTTTATGTGTCTTCCTATTCCTCTGTCCAGTCCCCTGTGGACACAGGGTAGGTGCTTAATAAGGATGGAATCTTGGACTGTCTGAAGGACCCTCATTGCTCATTGGTCCCCTGCCCCCGCCCAGCTCCAAACACCAGGTGTGTACCATGAGCCAGGGACCATGCTGTATTTTGTCCCCTCCCATTTCATCCTCATGATGCCTTGAGACAGGCATTGTTACTCTTATCTCCATCTTAGAGATGAGGAAACTGAGGCTCTGGTGACTTGCCCAAGGTCATACAGGTGGAAACACAAAGCTAGTATTTCCACCCAAATCTGTACAACTCCAAAGCTCAGATTCATTTATCAGATGGGCAAAGTGAAGTTCAGAGAGCTTAAATGACCATGAGTCAGTCACTGAGCTGGACTATACACCCAAGCTCCAAACTGCCAGCCCAAGAGATTGTTCCAGAGCCCTACTGGGTCAGACCAGAGCAATCCCACATCCCCACCGCCAAGGAAACATCCAACCAGAGGAATCAACAGAAGGCAGCAAATTGCCAAGCAGTAGGGGCATGAAAGGGCAGGGCCCTCCTCACCGACAATGAGGCCTATCTCGCAACGGGGGTCCTCATAGCCACAGGACATCATGGTCCCCACCGTGTCATTGACAATGGCAACCACATTCAGCTCCACTGCCTGCACACAAAAGGATGCTGCTAGTTGCTGGGCAACGCGGTCGTCACAGCAACCAGCACTGGACCCAGAGGTCTCTACCGCAGAGGGCTCCCCCCTCAGAAAGTAGGAGACTCTTTGCTCCCCTCAAGGCCTGCCACAGCCCCAAAGCACCCCTAGAACAGGCTCCTACCTGTCTGCGAGTGATGGCTTCCCGCAACAGACTCACGACATCTTGGCCCTCGCAGTCTGATGCCTTGAAACCCTTGGTCCAGTTCAGGAGGATGCCCTGGGGTGAGACCGAGAGGAAGTGGCAGGAAGCTGGAGGCCCCTTCAGGCTCACTCTGCCTCTGCAAAACCTGCATCCATCACAAGCCTAGGCTTTCCACCCTCCCCAAGCACAATTCCTTGCCTACTTTGCTGTATGGTTGAAGGCCTTGCCCTCTGCCCGCTCCCTACTCCCCAGGAGGCTTTCGGTGTGCAAAAACCTATTAATAACCATCTAACCTACATTTTCCATTATTAGTTCCAGACAGTCAGAGGGTCTGGCCATTTTAAGACGTGTGCCCGGAAGGAATGGCCCTTTGTAATTGGGTTAGGAATTAACAGAGCTGGTAAAGTGAGTGCTGTGTGTGAGACAGGGGAGGACAGAGAAGGCTCAGAGGCCCAGATGACAGCAGATCCCACCCTTTCAGAAAGAACTCCAAGTTACTCTAGAGGAAGGAATTCTCAGCTTCAGGGATAGAGCCGTGTCAATGGGCGAGTCACTCATGTGTTCCAAATGCAGGGGCAGGAGGAATGGAAAAGCCAGAACCCAGGCCCCTGGGCAGGATGAAGGCTGAGTGCCCAGATTGTGAGAAAAGGGACTTAAACTTAGTGACACGGGGCTCAACTTTACCTGGAAAGGAATGCTGTTTTCTTAGTGTGCGTCCTCTGAGGGAGGGGGCAGGGGGAGCAGGAATTAGTCTACAGCTGTTGGGAGAAAATTACTGCTTTGCTCAGAGGAGGAGCATGGAGGGTAGGTCAGGAAATCTTTGGGGCAGAAGATTTTAGAAATAGTAAGCAACGTTTTCCTCCAATAATATGTCCTTTTATCCCGTTTTTTATTGTCCTAGGCTCATTGTCTCAAAAACAGAAAGCAGAGAATGTGATAGAGTGAGAGAAAGAACCCGTTTGAGAGAGACCAGATGATGAGTAAGAGCCCTGTGTGGGCTGCTCTCCCTAGAGTGGGGAAGGGGAGGCAAAGGGGGAAGTCAGACCCAGGTTGCTGATGACTTCCTGAGACAGGTGTCCTATGCCCTCCCCACTGGGCTGAACCCCTGTTCAGAAGGGATCTGAGAAATCTGAGAACAGAGGAGGCCTCTGCCCTCCTTCCCCAGATAATGCACAGGAAGGTGTCGAGACTCAAGAGAGGAAGTGGCAGAGGCAAGTGCCCAAAGAGCAGGGCCCGGGGCACCTCCCTGAGTTCCCACATCCCTGCAAATTCTGCACAGCAAAGGCTGCTGCAGAGCCAAAGGGGCTCCTGGGGAAGGCAATCCCCACACTGGTTAAGTTTTCACCCCTGAAAATAATGTGGGCCCAACATTTTTTTTTTAAGATGGAGTCTTGCTCTGTTGCCCAGGCTGGAGTGCAATGGCACAATCTCAGCTCACTGCAACCTCTGCCTCCCGGGTTCAAGTGATTCTCCTGCCTCAGCCTCCCGAGTAGCTGGAATTACAGGCACACACTGCCACGCCCGGCTAATTTTTGTATTTTTAGTAGAGATGGGGTTTCAGCATCTTGGCCAGGCTGGTCTTGAAATCCTGATCTCATGATTCACCCGTCTCAGACTCTCAAAGTGCTGGGATTACAAGCGTGAGCCACCGCGCCCAGCCTTCAGCACAGAAATTAAGTTCAGTTACAGAAAATTAATAAGACTATATTTCTTGCCCCCACCCCGCCCCCCGATTTGCACATGGAGTCTCACCTGCTTCTCACATCTTACAAGGAATAATCAAAAGGACTGAGCAGGCTTAGCCTGGAGCAGAGCAGCCAAGCAGCAAGACTGGCCCACTGCACCATCCAAAGGACCACCGTGTAAAAGAAAGCAGAGTACAGAGTTGCATATCAGGTGGAGTGCGGTGGCTCACGCCTGTAATCCCAGAACTTTGAGAGGCTGAGGTGAGCGGATCACCTGAGATCAGGATTTCTAGATCAGCCTGGCCAACATGGTGAAACCCCATCTCTACTAAAAATGAGCTGGGCGTGTTGGCATGTGCCTGTAGTCCCAGCTACTTGGGAGGCTGAGGCAGGAGGATTGCTTGAACACAGGAGGTGGAGGCTGCAGTGAGTGAGCCAAGATCATGCCATTGCACTCCAACCTGGGCGACAGAGTGAGACTTCATCTCAAAAAAAAAAATGAGTTGCATATCAGAGAGAGGTCAGAGCAGGAGCAGGGGGTGAAAATCACATGGAGGCTGGTTGGAGTAGGTGAGATGAAGCTTTTCATTGATCACAGGTGTCTAAGAATGCAACTGTTGCCTTCAGGGGCAGTGAGCTCCTTGGCAAGAGGCTTTCAAGCAGAAGTTGGGTATGTTGAAAGGGAGATTCCTGGGAGTTTGGACCAGAGGCCCGGGAGGTATTGTTTCCGTGACAGGCTTCCGGTGTGCACATTGAGAAGTCCCTCATCCTTGTGTAAGAACAAGCTAAAGTGTGTGCTGAGTAGGGATGTGTGTCTTAGCCTGTGCCTGGCACTCTGCCACCCTAGTCATGCACCCAACACTGAGCCAGGCACTGAGAAGGAAACAAAGAAAGGAGGAGGAGAGAGGCCAAAAAAACCCCAAGCGACCTCAAGCCCCTGCTAGAGACAGGAACAAATGCTGGTTCCTGCAGGACCCTGAGGCCCACACACCAGTGCTATAGCTAAAATGGACGATCTGTCCTCTGATCAGCCCCAGTCTAGGCCTGACCTGCTCCCAAATGGTTCAGACCCTAACCCTGGGCCTACCCTGTCTGGGGAAACTGAGGCTGTGTGCAAGCCCAGCCCAGCAGTGCTGCCACCACCACCAACCCCAGACCCGCCACCGCCCAGCCTTTTCCCCTGCCTCCTGCCCACTCCATGAAGGGTATGTGGGGGCAGGAGGCCCTTGGGAATCACTTCTCTTGGCCCTCCCTCACCTGGTCTAGGCCAAGCTGCCTACATGGGAAGGAGAAGGTAAAACCCAGTGGGAGGCTCTGCCCGCTCAGGCCCTGCTTCTGCTGGAAGTCCACGATGCAGTCCACGATGTGGTCAAAGAGCTGTGGGGCAGGACAGGTCAGGCGTAGGCACTGCTCAGCCCTTCCCCACCTCTGACATCAAGGTTCAGGCTGTGGGTACCTGCTGCCCAGAACCCTGGGCCACAGTCTCGGGAATGGAGTAGATCTCGCTGGTGATCTGCACGCCTGTGGTCACACGTACCAGGAGGACACGGAAGTTCGTGCCCCCGAGGTCCAGGGCCAGGAAATCCCCTCGCTCTGTGGGGGCAGAGACCCTCAGTGCCGGGATAGGGCTTGTGGCTCCAGCCCCAGCACACACTGGGACCCCCAGGAGCCCATGTTTCGGTCCCACACTCAGGCCAGGTCCTTACCGCTGCCGTCAGGGGTGGCCCGGACGAAAGTGGGCAGCATGCGAAGGGAGGAGGCCTCCCCTCGGAGCCCCTTGGCCATGGCCTTCCGCATCTGTGCCTGAACCGCAGCCAGTTGATCATGGTTCAACCGGAATGGGGCCAGGGTCTCCTCCAGCAGGCGCCGGTGGGCAGCCAGACGGGCAGCCACGGCAGTCACCATCGCCACTCCCCGGCCACCACCATCCACAGAGGGGATTAAGGAGACATCGCATTCCGGGGCCAGGAGCATCACTGTCCCCTGCAGGACGCTGCAGAACCTACAGATACATACAGGTGCACCCGGCTTGGCCCTGGACCCCCAGACACACACAGGTGTGCACGGCTTGGCCCTGGACCCCCAGATACATACAGGTGTGCCCAGCTTGGCCCCAGACCCCTAGGGCCTCCTGAAGCCCAAGGCCCCATCACTTTTTTTTTTTTATTTTTGTAGATATCGAGTCTTGCTCTCTCACCCAAGCTAGAGTGCCACGGAGTGATCATGGCTTACTGTAACCTCAAACTCCCAGGCTCCAATGATCCTCCCACCTCAGCCTCCCAGTGTTGAGATTACAGGCGTGTACCACCATAGCCAGCCTCCCCTATCACTTCAATTTGAAATCTGTTCTGTGCACCAGCCATACGCCCCCGTGTCGCCATGGCCTCCACCCTTGCACACACAAAGGGAAGCATCGTTTCTCTCCTTGGATGTCTTCTGGCCTCCCATAGCTCAGTCTGGCCCTCCCTCTGCCTAAGTGCCCTTCGTGTCCACTGGCTTGCACATGTGATCCCAGAGGGCCCTCTGGGTGTGTATCACACACACGTGTTCATGCCAACTAATCATGCGGATCACGTTTCCACAATACCTGGGGTGCCGCTCACACACTCGGCCTCCGGTGGCCACAGCAACCTGGAGTGTTTGTTGCTCCCGGCTGTGCTGGAGGCAGGAGAGAACAGCGGCCAGGGCGGCAGCACAGAGCTGGGCAGCCCGCGTGCACACGGCCGCACAGACGTGCTGCACAAGCTCAACATCCGAAGCCCCAGGGCTCAGGCCCAAGTCCTGCAGGATAGCATGGACACGGGCTGCCCCAGTAGAGGGGCTGGAGGGGAAAGGGAAGTGGTTTGGGGCTCAGCCCAGAAGCTCCCCATCCCACTAAAGCCCCATGGCTACCTTGGGAACAGAGTATCATCCCCTTCCTCCAAGCCAAGAATCCCCCACTAAACCACCATCTCCCCGACTCACTCCTCCATCTCAGCCACGTGTTCCAGGAGGATGCTGCCTTGGCTCAGCAGGGCAGGGGAGGTGCAGCCACCAAAGAGGACCCCACACCGGGCCAAGTGAGCCAGCACCAGCCGCACCAGCTCACCCAGGTACAGGCCTCCGATCATCTTCTCAAACCTGCAGGGGGGAAGGGTGGCTGGAGGAAGCCTTTTCTAAGCCCTCAGTCCACCTGGCCCTACCTCCAAGAGTTCCCAAAGAAGGATTCTTTTCTTTGGGGCTCCCAAACTGGAGACTCCAGAAGCAACGAATAGCCTCCCAGAGGACAGGTGGGTGTATGCCCAGACCCCACTGCCCCCTCTGACATAGGTTACATTCAGAAGCCTCCTGGAGAACAAGAAGGACCCAAAGGAAGGCAGAGAGCAGTTTGCTCAACCACTTCCAGCCCTCAACCCCCAAACTGTCAGGGCAGGCCAGAGTCAGGAACAGGGAAGATCAAGGGTTGACAATTCTGGATTCTAGAACTTTGGGCCCTTCCTTCTTTGAACCTGGCCAGGGCCCCCAGGTTGCTCCCTGGAGACCCTCAGAGTGACAGGGAGGGGCCTAAGGGCCTGAGAACAGGGACAGAAGGGGTTGGGAGCAGAGCAGTCATAGACAGGGCCTGGAACCAAAGGTCAGGGCCCCCTGCCAGGTCACCTCTGAGCACCAGGATTCAGGGACTCATGGTCCAGGGTATGGTCGAAGGTGGTCAGCACTGGTCCCAGCGCCCCATCATCGCTGAAGGAGCCCCACTCGACGCTGACGCAGACGCGGCCCCGGTCTTCGTCCAGCACTGCCACATGCCGTGCCTCCTCCATGTAACACGCGTTGGTGCCCGTGTCTGGCAGAGACAACCCTGTCAAGGCCTGCTAGCCAGGCAGCACACCCTCCACCTGTCATCACAAATGGTCCATGGCTCACCTACAACTAGCCCAACCTCACACGGCCTGACCCCCGGCTCACAGCCCATCATGGTGCCCACTGTGTCGTTCACCACAGCAACCACGTCGATGTTGTAGGCCTAGATGATGAAGAGGGCAGAGGTCAAGGCTGGCCTGAGTGGCCAGAGGAGGGAATCCAGGGGATGGGCAGGGCTGGGGCCCTGGCTTTGAAGGAGATACATAGAGTCCATGAAACACATGTCTGCATGCCACACACATTTGTGCCACAGATGCTCTGGGCTCCCACCTTATAGGAACTTTTCCTCCAATCCCACCCTCAGCTCCTCCCTAACCCCCAACTTGCGCCCCCAGGTCACAGTGACGTCCACCCTCACCATCTCCCAGGACCAGGATGAGTTTCCTGAGACTGAGCACCTCCTTGAACTCTGCGCCTTGCCAGCCTCACTGTCATCCTGCCTGGCTCCCCAAGCCTGTTCCTCCCAGCACTGGCTTCTCACCACAAGAGGTTAGCCCAGACGGATCAGCCTTTGTCCAGCATCCAGACTCTTGTGTGTGGCCTTCTCTGAGACTAGATCATCCGCCCCAGCCCCAGCCTGACTTGAAGGGAGGCAAACTCCTCCTTCAAGCCCCTGATCAAAGAGCCAGTGCTTCCTCCGTAGTGCTCCCAGAGTTGTCCACGCACTCCTCCTTGACACGGACAATCTTTTATTAGAATGCTTCCCCATCTAGACTGTGAAAACCTTGAGGAGGAGGTCAAAGTCTATTCATGTTTTTTTGCCCCAGGTCCTGAATGTTTATTTGACCTTTCTTAGCCTCAGTGTTTTTTAACCTATACAATGGGAATGGTAGCAACATGTACCATGTATAGGTTAAACTGGATGGAGGTTAAACTGGATGGAGGACATGAAGAGAAGAGGAAAGCAACTCTCTCAGAAGCCCAGACCCAACGCATGTGTGCCAGGCCCAGGCCAACATGGGCAGCCCTCCTGTCACCCCTCCCTCCACTCACCCCCTGCCTCCGAATGGCATCTCTCAGCAGCTGGACCACATCCTGGCCTTCCACACCACTGCACCTAAAACCTTTGGTCCAGGAAATGAGGGTGCTCTGGAGGTAGAGAAGCTGGGTTACTCCTCTGACGGCCTTCATGGGGCTGCAGCCACCCTCTACCCAGCGTCCCATGTCCACTCCACCTCACCCTGTCCAAGCCCGTCTGGTGACAAGGGAAAGAGAAGCTGAAGCCAAGCTGCAGACCCTGTTTGTTCACAGGCTGCGCATCCAGGAACTCAGACAGGCAGTGGGCAGCAAAGTCAAAGAGCTGCAGGAGAAGTGGGGGGGCTCAGCCTTGCCCATCTGAGCCCTAGCCACCCAGCCAGGCCCCCAGACCCCAGAGGCTGGGCAGTGAGTGCTTACCTGCTGGCCAGCACCCAGCATCACCTCTTGGGGGATCACAAACTCCTGGCTTCTGGGCTCCACCCTATGCCCCTCAATGCCAGTTAGAGTCACCCACAAAACACGCAGTGAGGCCCCTGTGGCCCCCAGCTCCAGCACCACGAAGTCTCCTTGCTCTGGAGGGCAAGCAGGTCACAGAAAGCCATGCAGCTGGCAAGACCAGAGCCCTCTGCCCACTTCCCAAATTCCTAAGGCCTGCAAAGTCTGGTCAAGGGGCCATAGAGATGGGGGACAGGAATAAGGAACGTTTCCCTCCCCTAGATCAGTACCCTCTTCCAGGCCTGGCCACGCATCTCAATCTATGATACCCACCAGTGCCATGTGGGGTGGACCCCACGTATGTAGGCAGCATCCGGACCGCAGGGGCAGGGCTGGCCTGTCCCCTCAGCGCCTGCTCCATGGAACCCAAGAGGCTGGCTTGGATCTGCTGTAGCTGTGCCCTTGTCACCTTGAACTGCTGCAGGCACTCCTGCACCTGGGGAGAAACAGGCCAACATCTGGGAAGGAGCACCATTGGGCTGGCCAGACTCCCCACCTCCAAACAAGGCAGAGGCCTGCCCTGCCCAGCCCACTCCTCGGCTCTTCATACACCCTGACTCTCTTGCCAACAGCCTGCACCCAGCTCTGGCATCCTCAGAAGGCTCTGTCCTGGAAAGAGAACCCACCTTCTTCCTCCTCCTGCCCCATTACCTCACGGCTCCTTCTCAATTTCTTACATCCTCTACCCTACCCCTCCTCTTCTTTGAATTCAGGGTTTGGCAAGACCTTCTTCCTGCCATACCACTAATGATTGCTCTCTGGCTCCCCAGGACCCACAGCAAGAGTCTCTCAGTGAGTTGTTGTTGAACGAACAAGAGAATAAACAAATGCACGAACAAACTTCAAGTGTTTCCCTCTCCTAATCCACTCTCAGACTCTGAAGCCTGAAAAAGCCCAGCACGAGAGCATTTGGAGACCACACTGCAGAGGATGGTCCTTTTTTCAGTCAGTCATCCTTCCCAAAACATTGCTCCAGCCCTCACTATGCACCCAGCTGTATTCTAAGCACCGCACACACATAACCACCCAAGAAGCAACAAATGCTTTAGATTCCAGGGTGGGAGACAGAAATTAAGCACGTGAACATACAATTTGGTTCCAGTAGTGATGGTGGCTATTAAACGTAGGGGGGCAGGATAAGAAATTAGAGAGTGACCAGGGTAGAAAGAGGTATTTTTAGATATGAGTTCAAGAGGGTTTCCCTGAGGAGGTGATCTAAATGAAGGAAGGGAACAAGCCATTCGAAGATCCAGGGGAAGAGCAAGGGGATGGATTTGGAGAAGACTGATCCGGGAGTGGATCGGAGTCTGAAGGGGCAGGTGAGAAGGCAGGGAAGGCAGAAGCCAGGACACCCCAGGCTGTCACTCCACCAGAAGCCCAGTAGCTTAAGAGCCCCAGGGACCTCATCCCTGTGAGCAAATACCCTCCCCTAGATGACTCTCTCACCCATCCTTCAAAGAAGCCCCAACAGCCTCCCTGGATTCATTGAAGGGTCACAGCCTGGCAACTCCATCCTCCTCAGGCTCAGACTTTCCAAAGCCCCCACTTCCTGTCACACAGGAGTTCCATTTCAATGACCTATTGCCCCAAACTGGACACTTATCTTTGGAATAACAACTCAGGCACCTGGATAATAAGGCCGCTCCAGGGAGGAGAGGCTGGGAGGAGAAGCTGCCAGTTGAGGGAGATAAGGACAACTCAGTCCCACCTCTTGCTTTAGGAAGAGAATGGGAAACAGATCCCTAAGAAGGCGAATCATCCTAACTGGGGTGCCAGATGTCCACTTACACGTTTGCCTTACAGCACATGCTTCCAGCAGCCATGCCTGCTAGGGGTGCCCATGCCCACTCTATCTCACCCTGACCAGGCCTATCTGGTGACAAGGGAAAGAGAAGCTGAAGCCAAGCTGCAGACCCTGTTTGCTCACAGGCTGCACATCCAGGAACTCAGGCAGTGGGCAGCAAAGTCAAAGAGCTGCAGGACAGGCGGGGTCTCAGCCTTGCCCCTCTGAGCCCCAGCTGCCCAAGTGTTAGAAATATGGAAACGGAGACTCCGAGAGGGCAAGTCATCTGCAGGGCCAAGCAGCTGTGAAGGGGCAGGGGAGAATTTGAACCCATATCTACCTGAATGCAGAGATGTTTCTATGTCAATGTGAAGCTTTATAAAACCTAGAAAGTTCCCTTGAAAAGAACTCAAGGCTGATGAAAGTTGCTGGAAAGAAACCCCAGATGATCCGGCTTGAGAAAACTTACAGCTGAGTCCTCGCACTCCCTTTTTCTGGCTCTGCAGTCCTGGGAAAGTCACACCTCTCTCTGAGCCTCAGTCACCTCTTCGTGCAAAACTGAGAAAATAATAGTACTTGGAAGTCCCCCAATGCCAGGGACTATGTCTTGCTCAAGGCTACATCTGAGGGCCACGAGGAGCACCAGCTGGAAGCAGGATTTGTTGATTGGATGGTTGTGGTGGCATAAGAATTAAAGGCTGTAATGTATGTGGAAGTGCCAAGTGCCATTGGGATGGGAGGGGCGTTTTAGTATTGCTTCATGAAAACAGTAGAGTCACGGAGAAGTCAATGGCTTGGGCAAATTGTTTTTCTTCCTTTTCCTCTTGGGCATATTGAGATGTTCGGGAGGAGAGACTAGAAGACAGCAGAACTGCAAGAAAGACAGAAGGACTTCCCTGGCAGATCCTGGTGAGGCACACACAAGCCAGGAGAAGCTATCGGAGCCACCCCTGACACCCCAGGAAGAGCAGGGAGAGACCTCAGACAGAAGAGCAAGGAGAAAGGCATTAGAGAGCATGTGAAGTCCAATGTGGTTTCAACACTGGCTCTTGTCACCAACTTGCTGTGTTGCTGGCCTGGGCCCATCACCTCACCTCTCTGAGCAAGCAACCCCTCTATCTAGCAGGAACAATAGTACCTACTTCTCAGAGATGCCATGAGGACTGAGACGACAGCAAACCTGAAGTGGAGGAACAGTGTCACACATAGGAGATGCTCAGTGGAACACGGATTCCCTGTCCTCAGAGCACAAAGCACACCCAGCCTGGAGAGCCTGACTCCATACCCTCTCTGATGACAAAGAGAAGCCTGGTGGAAGGGGTGGGGAAGGGCCTCTGAGATGGTACTGGGAACTGGCCACACGTGGTTAACTAACTTTTTTCAACCTAAGGTCATGGCAAGGGGAGCACAGGGTAAGGCCTGTGGTGCTGAGTTGGGGGTCCAGGACCATGGGAAATTTGGTGTCCCTGTGAAGTCCCCCAAAGCCGAAAGGGATTCTTTCAACCGCAGGTGTATGTGATGGAGCCAGCAGGGCAGATGTGGGCCTGCACAGGAGTGTCATCAGGGAGGGGCAAGAAGCGAGGGAGGAGATGACAGCAGGCCCTAGAGCCAGTCCTGGCTGGGCAGGCACTGTGGCCCAGCCACCGCTGTCACTCCTGAGGCACGGCTGTGGGTCAGGCACAGAAGAACTGTCTGCAGCAGGGTCTGGGGTACAGGTTGGACAAGGGGGAAGTGGGAGCATGAAATGCAGCGAGGGGTAATGCCTCCACAATCTGGGCAACAAGCCTAGTCAAGTGGATGTCAGAATATGCCAGAAAACTAAAGAAACTGCAGAGAATGACTCAAGTACCCTTTAGTGGGCACCTCCTCTATGCAAGTCCTTTTTTTTTTTTTTTTTTTGACAGAGTCTCGCTCTGTCACCCAGGCTGGAGTGCAGTGGTACGATCTTGGCTCACTGCAAGCTCTGCCTCCCGGGTTCACACCATTCTCCTGCCTCGGCCTCCCGAGTGGCTGGGACTACAGGCGCCTGCCACCATGCCCAGCTAATTTTTTGTATTTTTTAGTACAGACAGGGTTTCACCGTGTTAGCCAGGATGGTCTTGATCTCCTGACCTTGTGGTCCGCTCACCTCGGCCTCCCAAAGTGCTGGGATTACAGGCCTGAGCCACTGCGCCCGGACTTTTTTTTTTTTTTTTTTTGAGATGGAGTTTTGCTCTTGTTGCCCAGGCTGGAGTGCACTGCCACAATTTTGGCTCACTGCAACCTCTGCCTCCCGGGTTCGAGCGATTCTCCTGCCTCAGCCTCCCAAGTAGCTGGGATTACAGGCATGTGCCACCATGCCGGCTAATTTTGTATTTTTAGTAGAGACGGGGTTTCACCATGTTGACCAGACTGGTCTTGAACTCTTGACCTCAGGTGATCCACCTGCCTCGGCCTCCCAAAGTGCTGGGATTACAGGCGTGAGCCACCGCGCCCGGCCATAGGCAAGTCCTTTATCTCCATTAGCCTTCAGGGGGTGGGGAGGATTAGACTTTATTTTCCTCCATTTTACTGATGAGGAAACAGAGACTAAGAGATATGAAATGGCTTACACAAGAGTTTCCTGCTCAAGGGTGTGGTATGAGACAGCTTCTAAATCTTGGTCAAGATGACAGAAAAAGAAGAAACTCACTTCTGAGCAAGCCTCAGGCATGAGTTTGGCACTAAAATCGTCTGTGTGCCTGATTGTAGCGGCTACATTGAGGGAGACATGCAGGAGGAACTGGAGAGGCGGGAAAGGAAAGGTCTCAAGAACACAACTTTTGACCAGATAACCCTGAGAAAGTCCACTCTAGACTGTGTCACCCACTTGGGGCGGGAGCGGCACCTGTGTGGCAAGGTGGCAAAAATGACATGTTTGGAGCTGAAACACCTCAGCTCAAGCTCCTGTCATGTCTTAAACTCAAGTCATAACACTTCTCTATATCCCTCTTCATCACCTGTAAGATGATCAGCCCAACCTTGCAGTTGTTTGGAGCATGAAAGGAGATCGTTACCAGCTCAGATATGAAAAGCTCAGTGGAAAGGGGCTGCATGGGTGAGAGCCCAGGGCCCCATGGCAGCTTCAGTCACGCTGCTCTTGAAGGCCTTAGACAAGCATGAAACAGGAACCCAGTGCTGAACTTACCAGCTCTGAGCTGTCTGAGGGCCCGGGCAAGCCCTCCTCAGAGCAACTCAGGGTTTCTTCCCCCTGCCGCAACCCTGAAGACCCAATGGAGTCCATGAGCTTCCACAGTGGAAGGTGGCCACCTATGGGAGAAAAGGGACAACCTGGGTCAACCATTTACTCTATAGGCCCTAGGAGTCTGTAACCCAGACCAACTTCCTTCCTTCTGAAGGGGACCAGGAAGGAAGCTGGGAGCAGAATTCAGAACCTCCAACCATCAAAGATCCTGTAGCAGTCAACCAGAAGGCCCTTGTTTTTCACAAGCATGTCTAATGAGAGAGCACTGGAAAGGCTGATTTCAGTCCAAATGCCATTCGTTAATTCTGTCATTCATTGACATTCACCAGTTCCTGATGCCTGCTATGCTGGACGTTGTGGTACAGATGAAGCAGACCTAGGCCCTGCCCTCAGGGACCTCACAGTCTCATCAACAATCACAGTATGATTAGCACAGGCAGTGAGCAAGATGGCCACATGTAATAGATGGACATGCTGCTGTGGTTGGGAGGTCAGGGACATGCTAGAGGCTTGGAACAAAGAGGGAACCAAAGACCTGCCAGAGAAGCAGGCAGGCTGGAAAAGGGACAGCCATTGTGCCAGGCTAAGGCACATGAATTTCATCCTGAAGGCAACAGGGGTCATGGACAGGGGTGGATCTGTGCTTCAGAAAGGGGTTCCACTAGTGACCTGACCTTGGACGTCATTTATGACTTCTTTGAATTTCAGCTTCCATCCATAAAACAGGAGGAAATAATATCTACCCTCACAAGGTTGTTGTGAGCACTAAATAGAATAACACCTGGGGAAATGCTTTATGAGATGTAGTGTGCAACATAAACATCAGGTGGGTTTTAACAGTGAAGTGATGCAGAGCAGAAAGAGCCCTGTACTCAGAGGTGGGAACCCTGCTCTCCACAAGGCAGCTGCACCCCATCTCAACCTCCAGGCTTTTCATCTGTGAAATGGGACCAACATGTATCAAAGGGTTGTGTGGGGCAAATGAGATCACGAGAGCAAAGGAACTTGCTCAGATGTGCATTCAGATTTATGTAGTTGAATCTGAACTGAAACTCTATGATTCTCCATTTCCTCTATAACATGAAAAGCTCAGTTCTTGTGAGGATTAAAGGAGTTAGTGGTCCTTTGCACACTGTAAGGAACTGTAGAAATGTCAGATACTTCGCTCATCCGAGCTGGAGGTGGTATTGCTGTTTCCATAGTCCCAAGGGAGCCCTCAGTGAGTCAGGTGCTCTTTAGGGGTGGGGGAAAAGGGAAACACAGCAGAGGGCCCAATATGGGAAGAGACATCTGTCCACTGAGTCACTTTACCTCCCTTCCTTGCAACAGCAGAACTTCTGGAAATATAGTACCTTCCCACCCCTACACTCCCCTCCTTGCCTACTCCCACTATGCTCACTAATTTGCCCTCCACGTGGTCACTGGTGACCTCCTAACTGCCCAATCCCAAGCCTTTTCCTCAGTCCCCACCTCTGCTGCCCTCTCTCAGGCATGCAAAGCCAGTAGTCATTCTCTTTGCTACAGAATTCCCCCTGTCCTTGGCTTTCACGGCCAGTCTCTCCTAGGTCTCCTTCCTGAGTCTCTCGTAGTCTTCATCAGTAATTTCTGTTCCTTCAGACAATGGGGTTCCCAAGTTTCGGTCATGCCCTCCCTCTACACTCCCTTTATCTCGCCCATTCCCAAGGTTTCATTAATAGCTGTGTCAGGGCTCCCAAATCTACCTTTGGCCTCAGCCAAATCCTAAATCCCAGTGGTCTGTTAGACATCACTATCTGGATGGTGGAGAAGCTCCTCAAATTCAACAAAGCCATACTCATTTTTCCATCACCTTACCCCCACAAAGCTCTTCTGTTCTCCACCTTGACTGGAGACATCGAAGTGTGCTCACTCACACGGCCGTTCGGGCTGCCTGCGCGCATCCCTCACCCTCACCTCCTCTATGCAATTGGATCTCAGGCTCTCTAAGAGCTCTCCTCTGCATCCCCTCCTCCCCATTCCCACACACTGCACCAGACCATCCTCCGGCCTGATTATTACAACAGCCTCCTAAACTGATAGCTCTGCTTCTAGTTTCTTCACCTCCTTACCCCACCCAACTTGATCACCTCTGCACTCATGGCCGGCACAGGGTCTGGTATA
Source organism: Homo sapiens (assembly GCF_000001405.40). Taxonomy (NCBI): domain Eukaryota; kingdom Metazoa; phylum Chordata; class Mammalia; order Primates; family Hominidae; genus Homo; species Homo sapiens. The sequence goes on from NC_000005.10 coordinate 176,898,260, forward strand.
GGTATGTGCTAATGTGCCTTTCCAAAATTGGAAGCAAGGGGAGTGGGTAGTTTTTTATTTAATAAAGCAACAAATCAGCTTCTGATAAATCTCCCCAAACCATACATACCTATGCTGAGTTTCCAAATCTGTCAAATAGGGGTGTGGAATTCTTGTTCTATGCTGCAGGTCTATTTCAAGGATAAAATGAGGTAACTGGGGCAATTACCTTCGAAAAGGACTAAGGGCTACACACGTGTCTTTCTCAAGGCCCAGCTAGTTCATTTATTCATTCACTCACTCATTCATTCCCTCATCCATTCAATATTTATTCAGCATTTTTACATGACAGAATCTGTGAAGCAATCCCCAAGTAGCCCTAATATTTATATGCTAGGTAAATGTATTCAGCTCTGTCTCTTCCCACTGAGATTCCCTGTGGGGAGGGACATGTCTCCTTCACTGCAGTATCCCCAGAGCCCAGGGTCTGTTTGCCTAAGGGCCCCGTGGCTTCCCTTAGCTGAATGGGCTACACGAAGTGAGTTTTCCTCCTGAAAAGTACCCCAGGGACCTCTACTGATGTTGGGAGCTGCCATCGAGAACCAGCTGGCAGGCTGGGTGTGGTGGCTTGCACCTGTAATCCCAGCACTTTGGGAGGCTGAGGCAGACAGACTGCTTGAGCCCAGGAATGTGAGACTAGCCTGGGCAACATGGCAAAACGCCATCGCTAGAAAAAAATAACAAAAATTAGCTGGGTGTGGTGGTGTGCGCCTGTAGTCTCAGCTACTCCGGAGGCTGAGGTGGGAGGATCACTTGAACCCAGGAGGTCAAGGCTGGAGTGAGCCCTGACTGTGCCACTGTACTCCAGTCTGGGTGATAGAGAGAGAGACCCCATCTCAAAAACAAAGAAAGAGAACCAGCTGGCTTAATCTTTCCAGTGTCCACTTCCCCTGGTGTGAGCCAAACAGGAGGGATGAGGACAAGACAGCTGTGGAAGGAGCAGGCAGTAATTAGACCGAAGTGCTTACCTGGGACACAGAGAAGCTAGTCACTCTCCTCAGGTCTGAGCTCTTGTCTGGCAATATGAGGCACCCCAATGACCAAAAGCAACACTCAGGGGTGACCCGAGTTATAATATCCTCAAGCCCCACCCTTTTCCTCCACCACCACTTACCAAACATCAGCTAATTCAGGAAGCTGCACTTCCTTCCAAGCCTGCCCTAAGAGTAGCCCAGGCTAGGCAAGGCTGTGGTGAAAACTTGAGCAAGATGATTACCGCGAAGTGGAGCGTTGAACTGGGTCTAAGATTTTGGGCCATTCCCTCTACAATGCTGAGGGCTGTTTATTTTGCAAATATAGTGAGTTCTGAGGTGGTGGCTCGCCCCTAGAAGGAGCTGGAGGCGCCTAGCCTGGAAAGGTTATGGTAAGTACTTTTGAGCAAGAGGCAATGTGGGAGCACAAGCGGAAGGGACTGACTCTGCCGAGAGTGGGCAGGGCTAGCTGAAGAAGCTGAGTCTTGAAGAAAGAACAGCAGTATGCTGACAAAAGTGGTCCTTGACAAAGTGGAGAGCATGTGCACAACCACAAATCACACACACACAGCAATGAGGTGCAGCTCCAGGCGCCTGAAGAGGGTACACCAAGGTAGGAATATATAGTGGGAGAGGAGGTGACAGGCAGACTGCGGAGTCTAGCCTTTAGTCTGTAGCCTGCGCAGGGAGAGTAGGTTCACATCTTAGGTCTTCTCTACTGGAAGAAGGGGAGTGTTAGGCTGCTGTGGAGCTATTGGCGAACAAGCTGTTTTTCTGTGGGAATTTCTCCTCAAAGGCACAGAACCTTGGGGCACCAATGTAGAATACTAGACAGCCTGCAACAATCTTTGTTGAAGGCATGGATACACTTTAAAGCTTCAGGCTGCCTTGTCAGCAGTAACTCTATCCACAGATAGTAGGCCTCCACATGACATCAGGATGGAGACCAGAGATAGTGGCTCCTCTATCAGTAGTGGCATGAAGAGGCCAGGAAACATGCCAAACATCAGTCCTGCTGTGAAGTTTACTGGGTACCAACCAGGCATATAGGCTGTGAAAGGCAGGGAAGTGGGGGATGGGGTGGCAGAGGGTAGAGTGGCTGTCACAAACAACACAGCATCCTGCCTAGCCTGGGATCCCAGTCCCTTTCAACTTTGTTCAGTTGGGAGAGGAGAATGTGGAACTGACTATGAAAGGCCCAGCTGTGATTCATGCAGATAGCCTGCCATTTCTTGAGCCAGGGTGAGGATATGCCCCTGACAAGCATGGCCAGGGCTCTTCATCTGCGTTTCTGGAAGGTCTGTGTCCAGACCCCAGGAGCAGGGGTCCTGGTTCCCTAGTCAGAATGCCAGGGAAAGTCTGGGTCAAGGCCAGTGGAGGGAGAAGGATGGCTGAGCTTGAGGTCTGTGAGCAGCTGGGACAGCCTGGCTGTAGCAGAGGCACTGCAGCTGCCAGCGGTTCTCTTCAGACACCAGATGGCCACTGACCAACAAAGGGAAGGACAAGTCCTCACGAGGTTCCCTCATAGCCCCTTAGTGCCAATCTCCAACTGTAGAGATGGAGCTAAGGAATGAGGAAAGGCAGTTTGCTGGGGGAGAGGTGGGCACAACCAGAGCACTGCCGATGGGCTGGGAGGTCAGGCCTTCCCTCTGCGCTTGCTCACAGGCTTCTCACCACTCACAGTGCCCATGCCAGGCACAGAGATCCTCAATAAGCTCCCCCAATTTGTTCCACACCCTTTATACCGTGAATGTGCCTTGCAGCTCTCCTACACACATCGAGCTACTTCTGTTGTGTCTTTGTTTGCACTGACTTGTCTGGAATGACCCTCCCTTTGGCCTCTCCCACCTTTTCACCTCATTTTTCCTCATCCCTTAAATTATAATCATCAACGACAATGAGGAGCCCTTCTCTGAAAAGCTCCTCCTGGCCGACCCCAGCTGAGTGTGGTCTGCTTATTGGTTCCGTATTATGATGCATGTTCTTGTATCACTGCATTTATATCTGTTTATTAAAGGCATCTGTTTATGTGTTCTTCTTCCCCATTGTACTATGGGCTCCCAGAGAATGTTTCTTATTCACCCGTGCAGCCTCAGACCTCAGTTCTTTATCTGGCAAGGAACAAGTATCAATTAATTTTTGTTAAATTGAAGAGCCCTCCCACAATCTCAATAGTCCACGGCTGGCCAAGCATGATGGCTCACGCCTGTAATCCCAACACTTTGGGAAGCCGAGGTGGACGGATCACTTGAGGTCAGGAATTCATGATCAGCCTGGCCAATACAGTGAAACCCCGTCTCTACTAAAAATTAAAAAAATTAGCCGGGCGTGGTGGTGTGCACCTGTAATCCCAGCTACTCGGGAGGCTGAGGCAAGAGAATTGCTCGAACCTGGGAGGCAGGGTAAGTTGCAGTGAGCCGAGATCACGCCACTGTACTCCAGCCTGGGTGACAGAGCAAGACTGTCTCAAAAAAAAAAAAAAAAAAAAAAAAAGTCCAGGGCTTTTGAAACTGAGAGGAAGCAAGCAAGCTCTTACTGTCTTCCTGGTGCATATGGTTTCAGCAGTCTTTCCACTAGTCCATCTTTCCACTGACAACTACAACCCTCTCATCCACTTACTACCTGCCTTCCCCTCCCCAAATTCCCATCTGCTAACAACCTAAGGCCAAAGCTACCCTGATTCACAGGCAAAAATGAGCTCATCCAAACCTGAAATTTCCCTTGAGTCATTAGTTTTGTGACTGAAATGAGAAGTAGGAAGTAGTGTGCTATAGTACAGAAAGCTTCAGCTCTGGGGTCAGGCAGACCTGGTTTCAAAATCCCATCTCATTACCAACTGAAAGACCTTAGACAAATTTCTTATTCCTCTGAGCCTCGGTTTTCCTTGTATAAAACTTGGAGACTGATGTCTTCATAGGATTTGCTTTAGGTTAGGTAAACCCAGAGGCAGACCTAATTTGAATGCAAATAACTTTATTTGGGAAGTGATCCAGGACAGGGCCAGAATCAGGGCAATGCAAATGATATGCCTAGGGTACAGAATGTAAAGAGACCCTCTCAGGTTCATACGGGTGCCAACCTTGCACTTAGATGAACCCAAGAATAAAGGCTCATCACCCTAGTCCCAGTCCTGATCAGGAAAATACAGAAGAGGAGCTGGAAGCCAGGTAGGAAGAGAAAGAAGCCAAGGAAGTGTACGTTAATTGTTACTGGGAGCTTAGAGAGGTTCACTCCCACAGGGAACCCTGAGAAATAGGTAGAATGTGCCTTAGAGTTGTCCCTCACTGAGTGAGGAAGCTGGGGTATCTATCCTCCCACTTCCACTGGCTGAGAGCTGTCCCAGGGGCACTAACTCCCTGGTACTCTCAGCTTGTGCCAACACAAACCAAGAGAAGTCCTCAGGCAGAGTCTCAGGTACTTGCAACAGGACTCTGTGGGTATACAGCAGAATGGCGAATGCCTGGGGGAAATGGGCGAGGCACAACCTCTGCTGGGGCTGCTGTAAGGACTAAATGAAAAAGCACAACTACAGCGCCTAACAAAGAGAAGTCCCCCTCTATCTCTTCCAATTTACGGCAATAGCTTGTGAAGTTTATGGAGCTTCCCAGCTCTCCGTGAGTTGGCAGCATCAGCAGAACAGCTATTTCTCATCTTTCAGAAGTAAAAGAAATCCAGGGGCCCTAGGAGAACTCTAGATGCCTGGGACCCAAGTTTCCTGTGGAAGCCTGATGGTTGATGGAGCCCGAGTAGTCCCTCCTGAGTACACATTCCTCTGAAAACTATCTCCTCTTGCATCTGCACCCGTCCCCCATCCCTCCACCCCTCAGTGCAACATCATTTGTGACACATAGACTAGCATCACATTAATAACTGCTGCCACTAACTCATTCTTCTATGTGATGACATTGTGCTGGATCAAAGCTTTATCCACATTATGGTAATCCTTAGAACCCTGTTAGTATGATCTTTTCCCATTTTATGGACAAGAAAGCCAGGTCTCAGAGAGGTTAACTTTTATCAGAAGCAGGGTGCAGATGTAGGCTGATCTCACACATTTTATACTTTGTCTCTTCACTCTTTCACTAATGCTCCTCTCACAGGATCACAGCATGGGGAGAATAAGACTGTGGGCAAACAAGACGGTTGTGAGGAGGCGATGGGGGAAGTGGGTAGCTGTTCTTCCCTTGACTCCCCATTAGCTAATAATTAAGCCTGTGGTTCCTGGTCTGGCTGATCCATACCCTCCTGCTGCTGACTCATGTTTTAGGGAAACTGCTCAATTTTAAGCTAAATAATTCACTTTCCAGAAGTACCCTTTCCCTTTTCTTATCTTCAGGCAAACAGATACACACACTGTCCCCTGTTTATACAGCGCTACCTCCAATAAATTGCCATTTAATGAAAGAGAAAACAAGCGAGAGTTAAGCTTATGGGACATAACTGATAAACTACTTTTCACTAGAAGAAAAACAGGAAAATAATCAATACTGGAGTCAAAATATAGCATTTTCTTCAGGAATGAAGAGTAGGGGCACTGTGGTTCCACTGCCATGGACAAAAAGTGGCTTATTTGTTACTCTAAGCCTTTGCTTCCTCATCTGGAAATTGAGATGATAATACCTATACCCCATAGGGTTGCTATGAGGATTAAATGAAGGCCACATACATTGCCTGGACCGTAGTAGTTGCTCAAAAAATAACAGCTATTTCTTATGTGCTGCTAGCCACTAGGTCAGTGCCATCCAACAGCAAGACATTATCTATGGAAGGAAAAGACAGTGAGACTGCCATCTTGCCTTCTTCTAACTCAAAAGGTTGTGTGCAAAGGGACCTAGGCAGGAACAAGGCCTTAATGTTTGTGCTGTCTTCCATCCCAGCTATCTGCTAACTCCCCAGTCTAACACATACCTCGTTTTCATGTTAAAAGAAAAGATAACTTTGGACAAAATCAGAAGTTAGGAGAGTCTTGAGTGTGCCTGTTTATCCTGTCCCAAGATCCTTTCCTGGTCAACAGCCACCTCCCCCAGTTTTTCATTACAACTTCAAATCAGTTTTGGCCAAAACTAGCATTCTTCACATCCTTGTTTGGTCATCTCCTTCAGGTAGCTCCTTCTGCCAATTGACATCCTCTCATCTTCAGAGTCTGCACATGGCATGCACCGAGAACAGACCACATCTCTGTTCTGCACTGGAAGCTCCTAGGCAACACGGTGAGGAATGTGCGCTATGTTAGTAATGTTACCAAAACAGAAGCCATGTCCTGTTGCTGCTAACCTTTGGCATCAAGAGACCCAATCTTGATTTGAACAGATGAATATGCCTGGCATCCCCACTGGTTAATCTATTTAGAAAAAATAATTGCATAGGCATCTAATAACAGAGTGTTCACTTGCACATTCCTGGGAAGAATGGCAGGACACATCCTTCAAATGTTCTATGCTCAGGCTGAGAATTCCACTGTGTGAGTACAAGATGAAGGGACAGGTCACTGAATGGTAGGGATAGCAGAATAGGTAGTGGGAGTCAATGCCCCTGGCACCTCCCAGAATTATGTCAGAAACAGTCAAGGGAGTAACCAATGTTCGGAATTGTGCAGTACACATTAAGTGAATATATACATGGTATGTCAAGGATCAGTAATGGCATTCATTCAGCATGTGATTTATGAGTCTAATAAACTACCTCTACAATGAAAGTATCCCCACCCCAAACCCTGCAACATGAAGGAAAAAAAAATTAAAATTTCCATCTATTGAAATAAGATTTCGTACAAACATAAATATATTTAAATTTTTTAACTGTAAGTAAATTCAAACAAACTGTTATAAAACAGAATACACAGTTGTCTGCATAGATCATAAAAAACATAAAAACCAGAATGCTGGGTAGGTGCTGGTGGTGAAAACTGCAGGGCTAAAACTTGCTCAACAATGAACTAGGGACCACTATGGCTTAATGAACATGGCCCACCCCTCCTACTAATGGTTTTGTCAACTTTTGGACCCTAGAAATTCAGAATTTTCTCCTTCTTCCTCTGCCAGCTTTGGTCCGTGTCCGACTACCTGGCTGGACAGTAACTTGCTTTTTAAAGTCCACTAAGCAATCTGTGGCTTCTGAAATGGAAACAAAAGACTTGACGGGAGATTCATTTAAGTCACGACGTGTGAAAGAACTCTGCATCTCTCTGCTGCAGCCTGCCTCTTCCATCCCTGGTGAAGGCACCCTAGAGAGAAGGAAAAAAATTCAGATTCAATATACACCTACTAAGCATCAAGGACATGCTATGCACTGTATCAGGGGATTTTACATATCAGGGGATTATTAGTACAAATAATCTTTGTAATAATCCCACCACATATCATCACTCTGTTTTCACAGATGAGGTCACTGGGTAAATCATATACTACTTAAAGCTGGCCATTGAGAGAATGAGAACTGAGATCCAAATTCCCAAGCTGCTTGAGAATCCAGGTCAGAAAACCAGGGTTGGATGGGGATAGAGAGGTACAGAAGAATAAGACATAACTTTCACTCTGTTTGTTTTAACACAATGAATGAATTGAGTTATCCAATCTTTAGCTAAATGGGGAGCACAGAGTCATACTGAGAGAGAGGTCATAATAGTTCCACAGTGATTTCTACTGCAACAGTCTGAGTATCACACTACACACAGAACACAGGACAAGGCCTGCACTTTTCAGAAATGCTGACAGCCACAATTCAGTGCACAATCCAATTCACCTGAAGGCTCCTGTTTCTGAAGACTTGATGTCTGCATCTGTGATATAAAAGAAAAAATAATAATGTTGGTAGTAGTGTTGGTAATCATAGCACTTCTCACTGATCTTTTGCTTCCGTGCTCTAGGCACTGCTTCTCATCAGGCCTATCCAGGTAGCACAGATCCCCAATCCCCTAAACCCACAGACGGTGAGCATTAGTGTCCAACAGACTCAGCTGCAGGGGCACTCAGATGAACACTTTTGAATGAACAACCTCTGAATAAATCTACTTCAATTCTGGACTTGAGGAACAAGGAAGTTGCCAAGGGAAATCTGCCACCTGCAGAGATTCACAAACTGGTGATCTAGAGACAGCAGGATATGAGGCTGGGAGAGGCTGCCTTTTTATAGTCATCAGAAGGCACAACAGATTTGCTTGGTGGGAATGAACTATTAGAACTAGATGGTAAGCACATCTCACCAGGCTTAAGCAAAAGCTCCTCTTCCATCCACATCTGGTGAATTTTAACAATAGCGACTAATAACAACAGTAATAATAGCAGCTAACATTTATCAAGAGCCTACTTATGCCAGGGAATATGTTTGGAGCTTTACCAGATACAATTCTTGCAATCTATGAGGTTTGGCATTACTAACTCCCTGCAATGGTCTTAACCAATCCACTCTACTGCTCCCTAAATACTACGCACAAACGCTCAGGATCACAGGTTGCGACACTAAGATAAAGGTAACATATGAATGATGCACAAAACAATAGAAGGAAGCAATAATGTCTGCACATCTAGTTTACTGTGCCTGTTCCTTTAGAAGGTATACTTGGGGCTTGTCGTATTCCCCTGTGTTTTGATAGTGTTTTTTCTGAGTTCAACAGGCTGTCCTGATCCAAGGATTTATAAAGCCTGAAATGAAACACAGGATGAAAAAGACAGCATATTGCCCCAACTTCCTTAAGGAGAGATGACCTAGATTGAGTCTCAAAGGCTGGCTGACTGGATCACGTGTGTACCCAGATAACCACAGCAAATAGTCAGGGGGCTGGCAATGGCTATCTTCACTGAAAGGCCTTAGGCAGAAGCCCAGAAAACTGGTCCTGGGGTCCTCACCTGAAGTCTTGTGCTCAGACTGTTCCAAGAAACTAAGGAGTCGGCCTTCACTGTGGCCTTTTTCCTGTAACAGAGAAAAACAGATGAAAAGGTTACTTCATGTCAGAGTCTAAAATACAACTTCCACAGCCCAGATCACACGTGTTCATAGAAGAGAAAAGGTGTGGGGGCCACAGCTCTAGGGAAGTCTTTTGCTTTCTAATAAACGAGGGTTTCACAAGTGAAAAAGCAAACTATAATGAAGAGAATACATCGCTATGCCCAGAGTATCATGGATTTAAAATAGAAAATAAATTTTAAGGTAGTGTCTACAGGCAGTGATCCCAGAATAAACTGGCTGTATAAGTAAGTGCTTACCTATAAACCATAACTCCAAATCTCCGCCTCAAAATCACCCCATTCACAGAGAGGGGTCTCTTTCTTCTGGCATGACAGACAATGGCTTCCCCATTTTAGTGTGTACAGTGACTCCTTTGTCGGTAACCCTAGAATATGGAGCTGCTGCTTTATCTTTCATCTCTAAGCCAAGACTTGCTCTTCCTGATCTCTAATTACAAGGCCCCAAAAGTACATCCATCCTTCCCAGTGACCAGGGCCCAGACCTGGCAGCTTCCTAAGGAGTTCGACAGAGTTGATCTCACATATATTCTTGGCAGTGGGATTATAAATTGGATATCCTTTCCGGAAAGCAATTTGGCAGGTTTCGAGACACTTTAAAATTTGTACATCCACTGACCTAATAGTTCCGTATCAGAAAATGTATTCTAAGGAAATAATCAGTGGTACAAAGACTGATTAATGTTTTAAATACAATCTTGTAACACAAAAGAACCAAAATGTCCAATAATAGGTGTATGGTTAAATGACCATCTGTGTGATATAAACATTAATAGTAATTTTTAAAAATAAAACCCAAAATGATGTTTACACTACATCTTAAGTTTTCATAAATGCAAGTGAGAAAACTACATATCGAGTACTACACAGAATATAGTATACACATAGTACTAGATATATAGTATGTTGTGTGTGTGCTTATTGCATATATATTGAGAGAGAGAAGGGGGGAGAGGGAGAATAGTGTTAATTACATTAACAATGCATAGAAAAAAAGACTGGAAGAAAATAGGCCAATACATTAAAGGTTATCATCTTTGAGTAGCTAAATTATAGGTGATGATTTCCCCTGATTATTTATATTTTTTTGAACTTTCCATATTCTCTACAATGAACATGTATTACTTTTTAAATTAAAAGGAAAAATAATTTTAAAAAGCACAAATCTTGTTTCAAGATAAATAGAGGGAAGAGGGGAGGGAGAAGAGGGAAAAGCCAGAACAGAACTGTGGCCTCTTACAACTGACAACCAGGAGGGTTAGGTGGCCTTTCCCAAAACACTCTACACATACCTTTGGGTTCTTCAGCCTCTGCTGCCACTTCCCCTCCACAGTTGAACATGCTCTTCCACTCCCTTCAGGTCCATCTCCTTGGTCAGCCTTTGCAAGCTGGAGACAGGAGTCCACATGACACTGATACTCTCTAAATGGGACCAGGGATTTACAGAGGTAACACTTCTCATTCCTATCCAATAAGAAAAAAGGAAGAAAACACAGTTTTAAGATGTGCTTTTGCCTCTGGGCCCCTGGATATGTCTCAAATTGTGTTTTTACGTCGCAAAGTTATTCTATGGAGGAGACATATCAACCAATGCAGATTCACTCAGCAGGATCACCAATAAAACTAATCCAACGCCAATCAAAAGGACTGAGTGATTAGCAGTTTTCCCTGGCTGTTTCTCTGTACCCTGCTGTTGCAGCAGTGGGATGGTAATGAAATCAGCTCTTCAAACTATCTCAAACAATGCTGATTGCTCTTCAGACATAAAATATTCTGTCGAACTCTTCCAAAATTAAGTGTAATAGTTTTTTTCAAAGAGAAGTTAAAATTTCAACAGAAAAGGGAGCACCAAGAGCATTAAATTAAGTTGACATTTTTACCAGGGTGGATGAACTTGTCTGATTAGCAAATCAAGTCTGTCTATATGCTGACTTCCTTAATTCTACAATCTGCAACATCAACTAAGAAGTTACTAAAAGCCATGTGGTTCTGCCAGAGGCTTTTGCGTAATTTTATATGCATAGCTATCTTTACCTTTTTTAAAAGAGCAGAGTTTGGGTAAAGAGAGGAAAAGTAGGTCCTTGAGGTAAAGTGTATTGGGCATCAGTAAAAATGGAATCACTGGGGGTAAAAGAAAAAAATGAGTATTTATTAAGTATTTTCTCTGTGGTGAGAACCTCTGCAAGGCCCTTTAATCACAATTCTCAATTAATTATTCAGCTCCATTAGGAAGGAACTAGTCTAACTATGGTCTTATAGGTAATAATTGTCAGAAACTAGATTTGCCTGACTCATAAGATCACCTTGGTTTTAAGAAGCTAAAAAAATTTTCCAAAGCATGCTATCTTGGACATCTCTTTCTGGCCATTATTATTCAGTAACTACAGCAAGGGAGACTTGGATTAGCTATAAGGAAGACTTTTTCTGAAGATGTTTAAAATAGCAGAAATAAGTCTCTCAAATACTTAATTATCCAGAAGAATGCAAGCAAAATGCTGCCTTAAGAGAAAAGCTAGACTAGTATACCTTTCAAGGTTTATCAATTAATGCAAAAAACATTAATTCCCTACTACATGAGAGACAGAAGTACTGCATAAGAGGCAGGAGTTTCAGAGTTGGACAGACTTTATCACTTCTAGCTGCAGTGATCTTAACCAGTTACATAAAATTTCTCTTTAGTTTCCTTACTTAAAAAACGAAAGAATAACTACCTTAAATCAACTACAGTGAGACTTACAAACAAGGCACCTAGCACAATGACTGGCACATAATATTAGGCACTAAACAAACAGCTATTATTGCTGTCTCAGATACATTTTATTAGAAGCTGGGGATATAAACATGAACTAAGGCAAGTATCTCTCTCAAAAAACTCAGACTAACCAGGAATACAGAAATATTCTTTTTTAAAACCAAATTACTGCAATACAATGTGAGGAATTCCTAGACGAATGTCTACATTACAGTAAGATTCCAAAGGGATCAGCTCTGCTCAACTAAATTAGGGAAGACAGCCCTGAAACTCAGGGTCTAAGATCTGTGTTTCAAAGATAAAAGTTTCTGCTTAGTAACTGCTCTAATCTACTGTTGGTAATGACATTACTTTCAGGAGGAAGCACCTTTGTGCTATCTTTGATGTCCAAGATAGCATGCTTTGGAAAATTTTTTTTAGCTTCTTAAAACCAAGGGGATCTTATGAGTCAGGCAAATCTAGTTTCTGACAATTATTACCTATAAGACCATAGTTAGACTAGTTCCTTCCTAATGGGGCTGAATAATTAATTGAGAATTGTGATTCTGACCCCTTCCTCAGAATGAGCTTTCTCAGTCAAGCTGCAACACACAACCAAAAAGTCTTCTATATTGCCCAACCTTTTGCAATTCAACTTCTGTACTATTATACAAAATGCTCAATGCTTCCCAAAGAGCACCAAATACCAATAAGCAAATTAAAGAAAACAGAAACCTAAGAGCAATGCAGAAGTGGAGTGGGTGGCAGGATTGCTTTTAGTGTATTAAAAAGGGATACAGAGGCCACCTACACTGACAGAGACTAGGAATAAGAAAAAGAAATTCAGGGCTGGGCACAGTGGCTCACGCCTGTAATCCCAGCACTTTGGGAGGCCGAGGCAGGCCAATCACCTGAGGTCAGGAGTTCGAGACAGCCTGACCAACATGGAGAAACCCCGCCTCTACTAAAAATACAAAATTAGCCGGGCGTGGTGGCGCATGCCTGTAATCCCAGCTACTTGGGAGGCTGAGACAGGAGAATCGCTTGAACCCAGGAGGCGGAGGTTATGGTGAGCTGAGATTACGCCATTGCACTCCAGCCTGGGCAAGAAGAGTGAAACTTCATCTCAAAAAAAAAAAAGAGAGAGAGAGAAGAAAAGAAAAGAAAAGAAAAGAAAAGAAAAGAAAAGAAAAGAAAAGAAAAGAAAAGAAAAGAAAATTCAGGCATCCAAGCAATGAAGCAATTGGCAGGCCAAAGAAATACAGGGTAAGATAGGAATTGGTCTTTTTATTCAGTCCAAACGATGGTATGTTATACAAGAGCTCCGTGAATGCAGCATACCTACTTACTTGTCAATGTCTAGAGAAGTCTGGGCAGCTGTCCCACTGTCACTCTTGGTCTTGGCCTCTTTTTGTCTCCGAGTCAATACTTTTAATATAAAAAATATATATATATACACATAGTTAGCTGCCAGTAGACTCTGAATATAAAAGACAAAATGCACAGGAAGAAGCAAAGTTTAAAACCTTATCCCACTGGAAGAAGTGCATTGTTTGGGAAGTCTCAATCTTTCTAGAATTGAGAATAGCGATTGTAACATTTGCACCAAAACAAATGTTTTGACAATATTCTGTCCGCCACAAGATATTCCGCTGTATGCTAAGCCATGAGATCTAAAGATCTACTCCACACCAAGAAAAGGTTTTTGTGTACTATCCCAGCTTGCAGCACTCAAGGGAGGGATTTACACTTTCCCAAGCAAAATTCTATCTGGTATGACACACACTCAAGTGAGGTCCTCTATGAAATATAGTAATGATAGCCATCCGAGTGCCTACATGAGCTCCAATCTTTACAAAACTCTGAAAAGTTCTGCAGTGAGAAAACTGTGGCTCAGAACAGTTAATACAACCAGTCTTTCCTCACTACACTAATACCACCTCCCAATTCTAGTGGGTATAAATGGCTTTAGCCCAAATGATACACAAATACATTGTCTCTCACACCAAAAGACATCTGTTTATAAAATAGTCTCTTAAAGGATCTTGGAGGTTATTTAATCAAGTGTTTTCCAGCTCATTCCTTGCATAACAAGAAAAACTACAACAATTTCACTTCAAACTCTGCCTTCTTTCCTCCTAACACCTGAAATCCCCACAACAGATAATTTAGCAGGGTTACGAGTAACTTAGGTTGTGAAGCATTTATCTAGTCCAGGGGTCAGCAAACTTTATCTGTGGAGACAGAGAGTAAATATTTTAGTCTTGGTAGGACATATGGTCTCTGTCACAACTACTCAACTCTGCACTGTTAGCAGGAAAGCAGTCACAGGCTATACATAAACAAATGAGTATGTTCCAATAAAACTTTATCTACAATAACAGGTATCTGGTTAGATTTGACCCATGGCTGGCCACCGTTTGCCTAACCTTCTAGATCAACCTCCTACTCATATGAAAATGCCTTCTATAAACATCCCTGACAAGTAATGATACAGTCTTGACTGTTTTTTGTTTTTTTTTTTTTTTGAGACATAGTCTCACTCTTCTTGCTCAGGCTGGAGTGCAATGGAGCAATCTCAGCTCACTGCAACCTCTGCCTCCCGAGTTCAAGTGATTCTCCTGCCTCAGCCTCCCGAGTAGTTAGGACTACAGGTATGTCCCACCATGCCTGGCTAATTTTTTATATTTGTATTTTTAAATTTTTATTTATTTTTTTTTTTGAGATGGAGTCTCGCTCTGTCACGCAGGCTGGAATGCAATGGCACAATCTCGGCTCACTGCAACCTCCGCCTCCCGAGTTCAAGTGATTCTTCTGCCTCAGCCTCCTGAGTAGCTGGGATTTACAGGCGCCCGCCACGACGCCCAGCTAATTTTTTGTATTTTTATTAGAGACGGGGTTTCACAATGTTAGCCAGGCTGGTCTCAAACTCCTGACCTCAGGTGATCCACGTGCCTTAGCCTCCCAAAGTGCTGGGATTACAGGCGTGAGCCACTGCGCCCGGCCAACTTGGCTGTATCTTTTCACTGAGGGAAATTCACTTCCCCCTAGGGAAATCCATTCTAATTGCAATCTGCCTCAATCTGCATTTACTGGGGACTATATGAATACATTTACCCACCTTTCCACAAGTCACCTCTTTGAACACTTAACAAGCTGCATTACAACATCTTGGATTTACTCAGTTTTCTGCCCCACTAAAATGCAACCATCATCAAAGGAAGAACTATACCTAGTTACTATGGCTATTCTATTAAGATTTGGATTGACAAATCTTCGAGTGCCTAGGTTAGCTCTAATCCTTATGATGACCCTCCAGATTGGTATTATTACTTTTCCCCAGTTTTAATGGTATGGAAATAAACTAAGAGGAATTGACTTCACCATGCTATCAAAACTACTAAATAGTAAAACCCAGGATAGAATCTAGATCTGATTCCTATACTTATGTTTTACCTTCCTAATTAACCTCTTTTAGATATACAATCCAATTTGTCAGTTTTCCTTAATATGTGTAGCACCCCAAACAGAATCCAATATTCAACAAACAATCCAACTAGTAAAAAGAACAGAAGAACCATGGGCTACCCCATGTGGACTCATACTCTACTGATTCAGTCAAGGCTGTGTTTGCTTTATTGACAATCCTGGTATACTACTGGCTCAAACTGAACTTAAAGGAAATTAAGATCCATCCCCTACCCTCCCAAATTATCTTCAAATAAAATGTTATCACTGGGTGCAGCGGCTCACGCCTGTAATCCCAACACTTTAGGAGGCTGAGGCGGGCAGATCACTTGAGACCAGGAGTTCGAGAACAGCCTGGGCAACAGGGTGAAACCCCCGTCTCTACAAAAAATATAAAAGTTAGCCAGCATGGTGGTGCTTGCCTGTAGTCCCAGCTACTCAGGAAGCTGAGGTGGGAGGATCGCCTGAGCCAGGAGGGTTGAGGCTGCAGTGAGCTGAGATAGCACCACTGCACTCTAGCCTAGGTGACAGAGCTAGATCGTCTCAAAAAATTAATACCATACCATACCATACCATAGCATACCATACCATACACCATACCATACCATACACCATACCATACCATACCATACCATACCATACCACACCACACCACACCATACCATACCATACAATGTTACCAAGACAAGTCTCTTAATTCTGTACTTTGGTAACTAAGTTGCTGGGTATTTTTTTTTTCTCCCCTTAAATGCAGGATTTTGTATTTGTTCCTGTTCTTTTCAGCTGAACACTCCTATTTGTTGAGATCATCTGCAGTCTTAACTGTCATCTGATGTTATTAGCTCTCCTTCTCAGCTATGTGTCCTCTGCATATATGACAACCATACTTTCTACATCTTTATCCAAGTCACTAGGGAAAAATGGTTGTAAAGGATATGGCCAAGGACAAAACTGTGACATGTTACCAGAGAAGCCTGTCTTCTCTCTGGTCCAACTTTCCTTTAAATAATTAAGCAAACACTTATTGACAATCTTCAATGTGCAAGTAATTTGGGGAGATATAGGAAATTATGAGGCACTGTCCTTGCTCTTAAGGAGAGTGCAGTTTACTAATGGAGACAGCATACACACTCAAATAACTACAACCCAAGGTGTAAAGAGATATGCGTAATAAAACAAGATCACACACAAGCAACTAGTAATAGTGTTTGCCTCTGCGGAGGATGACAGGAATACTTGAAGACTGGAAGAGGAAGGAGGCATACTTTTCATGGTATACTTTTCTGTAAATCAAATTAAAAACTAGAAGCGGGGAATCAGATTATATAGTCAGGCACAGATTAAATGATCTAAGGTTCCTTCCAATGCAGAGATTTTATAAGTAAAATTAAAGTACTGCAGGAGAAAAACATCCAGGACAGAACCAGCCTCAAATCCACCTCCTATTCTATCAACCAGCCCATACTTCTCTATCTTATGTACGAGGACTTCATGAGAGATTTTATCAAGTGCCTTGCTAAAATCCATTCTTAAAAGGCTGGCACCTCAAAGATTACAGAATCCTTTAGGAGTTCTATTTTTTATTTTTCTTTCTCTACTTGTCCCCCATCTTGACTATCACGTATTTTTCCAAAAGAAATACTTGGAAACCACTCCACAGATAGGGATGGAAAAAGAATTAATTGATTCTAGTACTGTCCATATACCACTACTGCATTTACCACATTTCTGTTCCTATTCACTTATATGTCAGTCTTCCTTCTACACCATGCAACTTTCTGAATTCAGAGACTCTGGGTTTTATTTTGTTTCTTTTTTTTTTTTTTTCTCTTCAGCATCCTCAGCAGAGTCTAGGACAGATTAAATGCTAATAAATACTTGCTGAATTAAACTGTATCAATAGATTCCAGGGGAAAAAAGAGCTCTTGTTTTATGAGGACCTATTTTGTGCCAGAGACTTTATAAACATCTTTATCTTTACAACAACCCTACAAAGAATATATCATTATTTCTATTTTACAGTAAATAATTTTTTTTTTTTTTGAGACACAGTCTCACTCTTATCACCCAGGCTGGAGTGCAGTGGTGTGGTATCGGCTCACAGCAACCTCTGCCTCCCAGGTTCAAGCAATTCTCCTGCCTCAGCCCCCTGAGTAGCTGGGATTACAGGCGCCTGCCACCACACCTGGCTAATTTTTGTATTTTTAGTAGAGATGGGGTTTCACCATCTTGGGCAGGCTGGTCTTGAACTCCTGACCTTGTGATCCACCCACCGCAGCCTCCCAAAGTGCTGGGATTACAGGCGTGAGCCACTGCGCCTGACTGTAAATGAAGTATTAAGTAACCTGATCAAGGTCACAAAGCAAAAAAAAAAAAAAAAAAAAAGCAAAAAGCACAAGGAATGCAATACAAATCTGACTTTACAGAAGCATATGTTCTTCTACAAGAGCAGGCTGCCTCTCCTGGAAAATAAGAAGCTAAAGAATGGGAAGAGAAAAAGTGGTAAGTGGTAAATAAGTGGGCAGGTAGAAGAAAATTTGAAGGGAGAGACTTGATATTGATAGATGGTTAGGACTATACGGTAATTCTATTAAATGTTATGATCACAATGGACTGGACTGGGGCTTGCCGCTGTTTTTCCTTTGAAACCTACTGCCCCTACAAAAGAGCAGAGAAGTGTATGTAGGTTGCTCTGAAGGAGTACTTGTGGTTTATGAGGGTTGAGATAGCTATTTAAACTAGCTGCAGGCAGAGAATTCATTATGAAACATATATCCAAAAACCAAACTGCTGATGACAGCAGCCACAGATTTCAAAAAGGAACAATGGGGTCTGAGTACAACTATCAGGGAAAGGTAGAAGAGAACAGGTATCACTGAAAGCTGAGAGAGACAACACTAAACATATGACCATTACCTCAGCTGCTTATATTCCACTGCATGGGAAATGCTTTAAGGAGTTGTACTTAGAACTGTGGCTTGGCACTGTTAAGATACAAATAATCAGTATTGCCTTGTGGTGAAGGGCACTCACTGGCTTTAGAGTTGGACAACAGGTGTCCAGGTTGGGCCTCTACTAGCTGTGTGGCCTTAGGCAAGTTCTGTAACCTGAGTAACAATTTCCTAACCTGTTGAATGAGATAACTGCATTTAACCTTAATGAGTTTTGCTAACAATCATATCAGATACTGTAAGAGTATCCAGCCCACAGAAAGCACTCAGTAAACATTAGTTTTATTCACTATTTGTTTATATAATTTTCATTATTCTTCTTCCAGATTTATTTCTTAGCCTTATCCAAAGACTTAAACCCATCCATGGAACCAGTGACCACTAGCTAGCCTACAATTTGGGTTAGATCTTAGTCTTAAGTGGTTTCCATACTAAATTTTACAAACAAAATGGACAAATAAATAGCCTAGGCATTATAGAACAATTATCAATACTATATAAACATCAACATATTTGTTTCCAAAATTCAAAGAGGAGGAACAATCAACAATAAAAAACATATGGCCTAGTACTATAAATTGTAAAGACAATGATTCCTTGAGGAGACCAGAAATTATATATACAAAGAAGGGAGTTTTTACAGAATGACAAGTGGTTAAAGTCTTCTCAGTTTGTCTCCCTCAACCTCAAAACCACCTCAGTAGAAAATAATGGGAAGCCACAGAGTTGTGTCTTTTCCTGCTAAGATCACCCCTCTTTCAGCCTAGCACTTCTTCAGTGGGATATAAGGAAAAGAAGGGAAGACGAGCTCCACCTGCACAGAGTGAGGCAGCCATGCTCACTGCCTCCCTACAACCAACGACCTCAGAGACCAGTCTCAATTAAAGGCTATTATTAGAACAAACTATTGGCTAGGTAAGGTGGCCCACGCCTGTAATCCCAGCACTTTGGGAGGCCAAGGCAGGCGGATCACTTGGGGTCAGGAGTTCCAGACCAGCCTGGCCAACACGACAAAATGCTGTCTCTACTGAAAATAGACAATTTAGCCGGGCTTGGTGGTGAGTGCCTGTAACCCCAGCTTCTCGGGAGGTTAAGGCAGGAGAACTGCTTGAACCCGGGAGACGGAGGTTGCAGTGAGCCAAGATTACACCACTGCACTCCAGCCTGGGCGACAGAATGAGACTCTGTCTCAAACAAAACAAAAACAAAAACAAAAAAACAAATTATCTATCAGTTTCTGAGACATGTGGCTACTTAAATTTAAATCTTAATTAGAATTAAATATAATTTAAAATTGGGCAAGGAGCGGTGGCTCACGCCTATAATCCCAGCGCTTCGGGAGGCCGAGGTGGGTGGATCACCTGAGGTCAGGAGTTCGTGACCAGCCTGACCAATATGGTGAAACCCCATCTCTAGTAAAAATACAAAATTAGCTGGGTATGGTGGCGCATGCCTATAACCTCAGCTACTTCGGAGGCTGAGGCAGGAGAATTGCTTGAACCTGGAAGGCAGAGGCAGTAGTAAGCCGAGATCATGTCATTGCACTCCAGTCTGGGCAACAACAGCAAAACTCTGTCTCAAAAAATAATAAAAAAAATTGAATTCCTCAGTCCCATGAGCCACATTTCAAATGCTCAATAGCCATATGTGGCTACCATATTTGACAGCACAGCTATAGAGCACTTCTATCATTGCACAAGTTCCCATTGGATAGTGCTGTTCTTTCATGAGATTAACCAGGACCAATCCTATTATGCCTCAATTCTGTCTACCTTGAGCACCAAAAGAAATCCAAGCCTCCTCTGGCATACCTCTTCAACTGGATTCTCATCCCCATTTGCCACCATTCTTGGTGATTTCAATATCTACATATTAGACTGAACCATATGAAGTTGCAGTTTTTGTAACTTCAACCCAAGATATGATCCATCCAGTACTCCAGCCTCTCAGTTCCCTGACCTCTTGTTTATTAATTCCTATGGCTCCTACCATCTCAGCCTTTCTCCAGTGGGGTTCCAAGAGAGGAGTAAGCCTAATGCCCTAAGGCACCCACCAAATGTTATAAGTCAATTTCTGTCCCCTGCATCTAAAGTGGTACCAGCTATGTATCATAACTGGGAGAAGTAAGCAAACAATGAATTCATTTTCTGACTTCCATGGTTCTAATGAAGAACTCTAGCTGAGCCTATCATTAATGATGAGCTCAATTTCAGGTGTCCATTCTCTGTTCACCATCACCTATCTTTCCCAACTCACCCTCTCTAATGTTCTTACACCAATCACCCTTCAGCCCCACTAGGACATCTAATCCTATACTATCATCTTTTCACGATTACCCTGTCATATCTTCGCATTCCTTCTTGCCTTAGTTTACATAGTTATCATATTAACACTCCCCTTGAATATTCCCTCAACTTCTTTCTACTGTACTTACTTGCGCAATCCGACTTTGGTTAAATACAGCCCTCCTACTTATTAGGTGTCCCTATCTGCTGAATGTGACAGGAACAAAAACACATACAACGTGCTGACTGGCCTCACTTTTTATTTAAGATCAAAATCTTAAGTGGTCCCTCACTACTGCTAGCAATCTTGACATATTTTCCTAGTCGGTTCATTCTTCCATCCTCCCAGGTACTATTTCACATCTTCTCTGCTATTCTCAAAACTCTAATATCCATTCCGATTCCTGTATCACTATTCTTTTTTATTTAAATATAACTTCACTGAGATATATTCATGTACCATATAATCCACCCATTTAAAGTCTATGATTCAATGGCAAGTACCTGGGAGGCTGAGGTGGGAGGATTGCTTGAGGTGGAGAGGCAGAGGCTGCAGCGAGCCAAGGTTCCACTACTGCACTCCAGCCTGGGCAACAGAAAGAGAGTTCTTTATATATTCTGGATACTAAACCCTTAACATACATATGATTTGCAAATATTTTCTCCTATTCTGTAGGTTGTCTTTTCACTTTCTTGATAGTGTCCTTTGATGCACAGAAGTTTTAAATTTTGATAAAGTCCAATTTATCTTTTTCTTTTGTTGTTTGTGCTTGTGGTATTATATCTAGGAATCCACTGCCAAATCTAAGGTTGTGAAGTTTTATCCCTAAGATAGTTCCCCTGACTCGCTGAGACAAGGTGTCAACTGTGTTGCCCAGGTGGGACTCTAAGGATCCTCCTGCCTCAGCCTCCCAAGTAGATGGGACTTACCAGTGTGTACCACTGTAGCTGCCTATAAAAGCTTTATGACTTACATTTAGGTCTTTGATCTATTTTCATACGTAGTATAAACAAGTGGTCCAACTTCATGGTTTTGCAAGTGGATATTCAGTTGTCCCAGCACTACATATTGAGAAGACTGCCTTGTTTTCCCCCACTGAATTGTCTTGACATTCTTCTCAAAAATCAATTGCCCACAAATGTATGGTTTTACTTCTGGACCCTCAATTCTATTCCACTGAACTGTAATGCCTACCTCTATGTCTTAATTAGTAAGTTGTAAAATTGGAAAGTATGAACTCTTAACTTCGTTCTTTTTCAAGACTGTTCTATTCTGTGCCCCTTGTATTTTGGTATGAATTTTGGGACCAACTTGTCAATTTACAAAAAAAAGTTAGCTGGGATTTTTGTGGGGTTTTCTTGTTTGTTTTTTTGAGAAGGAGTTTCGCTCTTGTTGCCCAGGCTGGAGTGCAATGGTGCGATCTTGGCACACCACAACCTCCGCCTCCTGGGTTCAAGTGATTCTCCTGCCTCAGCCTCCTGAGTAGCTGGGATTACAGGCATGCACCACCATGCCTGGCTAATTTTTTTTTTTGTATTTTTAGTAGAGACGGAGTTTCTCCACATTGGTAAGGCTAGTCTCGAACTCCTGACCTCAGGTGATCCGCCCACCTCAGCCTCCCAAAGTGCTGGGATTACAGGCGTGAGCCACCATGCCCAGCCTAGCTGGGATTTTGAAAAGGATTTGAAATCTGTAGATCAACTTGGTGAATACTGCCATCTTCACAACATTAAGTATTCTAAACCATGAACAGGAAATACCATTCCATTTATTTAGGTCTTATTTAATTTCTTTCAACAATGTTTTATAATTCTCAGAGAAGTTTTTTATTTCTTTTGTCAAACATATTCCTAAGTATTTTATTATTTTTGATAGTATATTAAATGTAACTGTTTTCTTAAATCCACTTTCAGATTGTTCACTGCTAGTGTACAAAAATACAGTTCATTTTCTATATTGACCTTGTATCCTGCAAACTTGCTAAACTCGTTTATTAGTTCTAAAGGCTTGTTTTATTTCAGTGGATTCTCTAGGATTTTCTATATAAAAGATGTCATCTGATAGAGTAGTTTACTTCTTCGTTTCCAACCTGAATGGCTTTTATTTCATCTCTTTCCTAACTGTCCTGGCTAGAACCTCCTTTACCACGTTGAATGGAAGTGGCAAGAATGAACATCCTTGTCTTGTTTCTGATTTTGGGGAAAGCTTTCAGTCTTTCACCATTAAGTATGATATTAGCTGTGAGTTTTTCATAGACGCCCTCTATCAGGCTGAGGAAGTTCCTGTCTATTCCTAGTTTGCTGAGTATTTTATTGTCATGAAGGAGTATTGAATTCTCTCAAATGCTTTTTCTGTGTCCATTTAGATATCGTGTGGTTTTTGTCCTTTGTTCTATGATACAGTATATTAACTGATTTTCTAATGTTAAACCAACCTTTCAGACTTTTTTGATGAGAAAAAAGTAGTACTTGAGAGAACTTCTACACTCTTCCACCACCAAAAGTATTAGTCTATCTGCATCTGTACCCATATCCTCTGCCTTCCCTCCTATTGCACAGAATGAATTGCCCACACGGCTATCTAAGGCTCACTTTTCCATTTGATCCTGAATCTGAACGCTTCTTGCTTAATTAAGGATTCCCCTCCTGCCATCATCTCTCCTGAAACATCAATTTTTCCCTCTTTTTTTAGATCATTCCATCAGCATACAAATATGCAGTAATATTTCCCATAAGGTTATTTCTAGACTTGTATATCCTGCTGTCTGCTCAACATCTTCATTTGGTTATTCACTGGGCATCTTAAAATTATGTACAAAACCAAATTCTTAATTTCTTCCTCCAAACCTGTTCCTGCCCCAGTGTTCCCGCTCTCAAACAACGAAGTCATCATTAACCCAGTTGCTTGGGGCAAAACCTTGATTTCACCTTAGTCTTTCTTGTTCTCTCACACTCCAATAAATCCTGTAGGTTCAACCTTCAAAACATTCCCAAATCTGACAACTTCTTTACCTCACAGCTACCTCTATGGTCAAAGCAAACATCAGATCTTCCCTGGAATAATGCAACAGCCACTCCCCTCCACCCCTGCTTAGTCTCCTCAATTCCATTTTTGCCCCATCCCTCTATAGATTATTTTCCACATTGTAGCCAGAGTTAGATTACATCATTCCCTCGTTCTCAACCCCCCTATGGCTTTTCATCATATTTGGAATGAAGTACAAAAACCTCACCTCACATGATCTGACCACTGTTTATTTCTTCTCTCCTTTCCCCCTGTCGCTCAATCTAATTCAGTCATTGTGTCTTTCCTGCAGCTCTAAGAAACATGCCAAACACACTCTTGCTTTAGGGCCTTTGTATTTATTCCCTGACCTAGAATGACTCTATTCAAATATCACCTCAAGAAGTCTCCCTTGATCTTTCTCTTTAATCGAGCCCCCTTTTTCCTCTGTTCTAGTCACTCTCCATCCCCTCTTCTTGCCTTGTTTTTCTTAAATTGTATTTATTATCTGTTTCCCTCACAAAAAGGTAAGCTTTATAAGAACACTGACTTGTGTTTAGTACTGTACCCTCAGCTTGCAGAACAGTATCTGCGTTATAGTTGCTGCTAAATAAATACCAACTGGGTTGTCAGTAAGGAAGTACAAGCAATAGTTAAACAACACAGTGATCTTCTGAATTACTCAGAGGGGCTTTCTAAGTTGAGTACCCTACAATTGGCTTAGCCAGAAACCTGAGTTAAGATTGCCTTCTCTCATCTTGACCAGTCACAAGGTTTGCTTCTCTCACCAAAAGATTCTCAAGTCCGTCCACTTCTACTAACACTGCTTTATCATCTGTCTCTCTGCTTTTAGTCTCCTCCAAATTATGGTTAATATTTCAGAATACTGTATTTTCTTTCAGTCTTTATTTTGAATCCTTATATAATACTTCGTCTTGTTTTTGAACATTGGGTTAAGTTGTTCATTGTTATAAATAATGCTTTGATAAACCATCTTTGTCTATACAATTTCATCTAAATTCTGATGACGTTTTTAGAGTAGATTTTCAAACTTTAATTCATGGGTCAGAAGATATGAATTACTTTTAAGTTCTACGTATATATTATCAAATTGCTTAAACAAAAATTTCAGCTGTTAAAGATTAAGCTATAAATATTATAGACAAGTACTAGTAAGGAAGTAGATCAGTAAAAGTGCACCTCTTAAGAGAACAGGCTTATCTCTAAGCTTGAAAGAAAATCGCTACATTTTGAGTAGGCAGGGGGCCTCTGTGGCTTTTTTGCAGCAAAGAAGGCAGTCTGGCATTGCAGTACTGTCTTTGGAGTCTAACTGCCTTTGAATCCTATGCCAGAGCAGGTATTTATAGGCTTCAAGCCCCTAAGCCTTTGTTTGCTCATCTGTAAATGGACCCAGCAATGCTTATCTTTTTAGGGTTGTAAAGATTTCTATTTAGGAACTACCAACATAATCACGTAAGATGTTTGAGTTAGAAGCTATGTCTATTAGAATAAGATTATCAAGCCTAGTACCTGAGAGAACAAGAGATTGTCAGAATGGATAAAAGCATGACCCAATGGTATGCTGTCTACAGGAGACACATTTTAAAAATAAAAACACAGATCAGTTAAAAGAATGGAAAAAGATGTATCAGGCAAACAGTAGGAATAAGACTGAAATGACTAGAACCATATCCAGTAGTTCTACCAGATAAAATACACTTCAAGAAATAATTAGCTGGGTGTCGTGGCACATGCTTGTAATCCCAGCTACTTGGAAGGCTGAGGTACAAGAATCCCTTGAACCTGGGAGGCACAGGCTGCAGTGAGCTGAGACAGTGCCACTGCACTCCAGCCTGGGCAACACAGTGAGACTGTATCAAAAGCAAAAAAAAAAAAGAAAGAAAGAAAATAAGGTCGGGCACGGTGGCTCACACCTGTAATCCCTGCACTTTGGGAGGCTGAGGCGGACAGATCACTTGAGGTCAGCAGTTTGAGACCAGCCTGGCCAACTTGGTAAAACTCTGTCTCTACTAAAAATATGAAAATTAGCCGGCCATGGTGGCGGGTGCCTATAATCCCAGCTACTCAGGAGGCTGAGGCAAGAGAATCGCTTGAACCCAGGAGACAGAGGTTGCAGTGAGCCGAGATTGTGCCACTGCACTCCAGCCTGGGCAACAGAGCAAGACTCTGTCTCAAAAAAAAAAAATATATATATATATACACACACACAGACACACACACACACACACACACACACAGACACACACACATTATCAGGGATAAAACTGGAAATTACATCGTATATTTACATGTTGGCTCAATAATTTATATGAAACCGTGAAAGACTAGAATATCTACCACAATCTGGCCGGGCACGGTGGCTCACGCGTGTAATCCCAGCACTTTGGGGGGCCGAGGCAGGTGGATCACCTGAGGTCAGGAAGTCAAGACCAGCCTGGCCAACATGGCGAAACCCCATCTCTACTAAAACTACAAAAATTAGCCAGGCATGGTGGCAGGTGCCTGTAATCCCAGCTACTCAGGAAGCTGAGGCAGGAGAATCGCTTGAACCTGGGAGGCGGAGGTTGCAGTGAGCCGAGATCGTACCACTGCACTCCAGCCTGGGGGACAAGAGTGAGAATTCGTCTCAAAAAAAAAAAAATAATAAAAATAATATCTACCACAATCTTGAAAAAGAACAAATGAGAAATTATGCTACCTGCTACCTGACTTTAAGACTCGCTATGAAGCTACTATAATCAAGACACTTGTACTGGCATAAAGACAAACAGATCAATTAAATAAAAAAGAGAAGCCAGACATAAACTCTCACTTATACAGTAAGTTGATTTTCAAAGGCACCAAAGCAACCCACTGAGAAAAAGAAGTCTTTAATGAACTGAGTTAGAATAACTAGATATCTATATAGAAGAAATAAACCTCATCCCCTAACTCACACCATACACAAAAATCAATTCAAGATGTACCATATACCTAAATAGAAAATAATAACCATAAAGGAAAAAATTGAAAATTAGACCATCTTAAATCTTCTTCACAGCAAGATACCATTAAGAAAATGAATAGGCAGCCGGGCGCGGTGGCTCATATCTGTAATCCCAGCACTTTGGGAGGCTGAGGCGGGTGGATCACAAGGTCAGGAGATCAAGACCATCCTGGCCAACATGGTGAAACCCTGACTCTACTAAAAATACGAAAATTAGCCGGGCACACATCTGTAGTCTCAGCTACTCAGGAGGCTGAGGCAGGAGAATCGCTTGAACCTGAGAGGCAGAGGCTGCAATGAGCTGAGATCGTGCCACTGCACTCCAGCCTGGGCGACAGAGCAAGACTCTGCCTCAAAAAAAAAAAAAAAAAGAAAGCAAAAGAAAATGAATAGGCAAGTACACGCTAGAAAATATTTGTAGAACACACATTTGACAAACAACTGGTATTCAGGACATACAAAGAACTCCTATCTCAATAATAAAAAGCCACATAATCCAATTTTAAAATGGACAAAACATTTGAACACTTTACAGAAGATACAAAATTAGACAACAATCATGTGAAAAAAAGTGCTCAACATCATTAGCCATCAGGGAATGCAATTAGAATCATTACATGACTACCAGAATGGCTAAAATTAAGGGGATAAAACAGTATCAAATGGTAGCAAAGATGTAAAACAAGTAAAATAACTAGAATGCTCATAAACCGCTAGTGGGAATTAAAATGGTATAACTACTTTGGAAAAAGGTTTGGCAGTTTCTTTATAACCTAGCAATTCCATTCCTAGCTATTTATTCAAAAGATGTGAAATCTTATGCTCACTATACAACCTGTACAAGAATGTTCACAGCAGCATTCTTAGTGAAAAATACACCGAGAAGAACTGTATAAAGAAACTGGTATATTCATATGCTAGAACACTACTCAGTAATAAAAAGGAATATAACACGGATCAATCTCAAAAACATTATGCTGAGTGAAAGATTACATAAAAGTATACTGGTATGATTCTACTAATATCAAACTGCAGAATATCATATAAGCAGAATTTTACAGAAATAAAACAGTGGTTGCCTTTAGGGGGAGGGGTGAAGAAGAGATATGAGGGAATCTTCCAGGGTGATATTAATGCTCCGTGTCTTGATAGGTATACGCATATGCCCAAACTCTGCAAATTTACACTTATTTGTGCATTTCACACAAATATTGGAACTTGGTTCATGATTTGCATGCTTAAGTATTTCAGGGAAAATGAACCAATATTCGCAACTTACTTTGCAAAGCATCAAAAACATAACATGGATTAAAGGATGGCTAGAGAGATACATAGATTTGTAATAAAACATAGTAAGATATTAATGGAATCTAAGTAATAAGATTCTTCTAACTTTGTTGTGTATTCAAAATTTTCATAATAAAATAACGGAGGGAAAAAGACTGGGGAAACCCTCTAAATTAAAGATGAATAAAGAGATATGACTAGATGCAACGTATGATGCTTAATTGGATCCTTTACGCCAAAAAAGAGATACAAAGGATACTACTGGAACAACTGAGGAAATGTGAATGTGGATTGTATACTAGATAATAGTATTGGCATTAATGTTAAATTTCTTGAGTATAATAATGGTGTTACAATTTTGTAGGAGAATGATCTTGTTCTTAAGAGATACACACTGATCAAGCTCAGTGGCTCAATTCCAGCACTTGGGGAGGCCAAGAGAGAAGGATCTCTTGAGGTCAAGAGTTTGAGACCAGCTTGGGCAACATAGCAAGACCCCCATCACTACAAAATTAAAATTAAAATTAGCTGGGTGTGGTGGTGAGTGCTTGCAGTCCTAGCTACTAGGGAGGCTGAGGTGGGAGGACTGCTGGAGCCCAGGAGTTCAAGGTTACACTAAGCTATGATCATGCCAGTGCACTTCAGCCTGGGTGACAAAGCAAGACCCTGTCTCAAACAACAACAACAACAACAACAAGAGATGCATACTAATTAAAGTATTTAGAGGTAAAGTGTCATGATTTATGCAACTAACTCTCAAATGGCCAGGGAAAGGTCCATATATGTAAAAAATATACATATGAGAAAGAAAAAGAAGAGAAATAGGAGGGATAAAGGAAGTACACTATTTTTGTATCTCATACTTCTGAAATTTGAAATTTTCAAAATAGAGAGGAAAAAAATAGGCCCTGAAACAAACAGGTCTAAGTCTCAGTTCCCACACTACCAATTACTAGCTTAATGATTTTGAGCAAGTTACTTCTCCCTAAGGATGACAAAGCCTAACTTGTAAGGTTCCTGCAAAGATCAGGTAAAATAAGAGTTACTGCATAAGCGCATACTGACTTGCAGAAAATAGTAGTAATAGCAGTCACTGTTATTATAAAGACCAGTAGTGGTCAGGTATGGTTGGCTCATGCTTATAATCCCAACACTTTGGGAGGCCAAAGCAGGAAAATCACTTGAGCCCAGGAGTTCAAGAACAGCCTGGGCAACATAATAAGACACCATTTCTTTAAAAAAGAAAAAAAAAAAAAAAAAAAGCACCAGTAGTGTGTCACAGACCCATGAATTTCTTTATTTTTTTTGGAGATGGAGTCTCACTCTGTTGCCCAGGCTGGAGTGCAATGAGGCAATCTTAGCTCACTGCAACCTCCACCTCCTGGGTTCAAGCGATTCTCCTGCCTCAGCCTCCCGAGTAGCTGAGATTACAGGTGTGCAGCACCACACCTGGCTATTT
The DNA here is from genome assembly GCF_000001405.40 of Homo sapiens. Lineage (NCBI taxonomy): Eukaryota > Metazoa > Chordata > Mammalia > Primates > Hominidae > Homo > Homo sapiens. The sequence goes on from NC_000005.10 coordinate 176,927,423, forward strand.
TTTGTATTTTTAGTAGAGATGGTGTTTCACCACATTGGCCAGGCTGGCCTTGAACTCCTGACCGCAAGTGATTCACCCACCTCGACCTCCCAAAGTGCTGGGATTACAGGCATGAGCCACCACACCCAGCCAAATTTCAATTAAAAAAAGAGAGAATTCTATTTTCAAATAAAATTTCACATGAAACGCAATATGTAAAATACATAAATGTATGGATGAGGTGGGTGGTCAAGTTGGAGTGTTACCAGTATTCATTCTGCCCTTCCCACACCTTTACAGAACCCTAGTTAACTACAGAGGACATTTTGAAAAACCAGTTCTCAGCCGGGTGTGGCCTGTTTCAAAAAAAAACAAAACAAAACAAAACAAAAAACAAAAAAAACAGTTCTCTAGAACAGGGATTGGCAAACCATGGGATGGCCAGCCAGCTTTTTTTTTTTTTTTTTGAGACAGAGTTTCACTCTTGTTGCCCAGGCTGGAGTGAAATGGTGCAATCTCAGCTCACTGCAACCTCTGACTCCTGGGTTCACGTGATTCTCCTGCCTCAGCCTCCCGAGTAGCTGGGATTACAGGCAGGCGCCACCATGCCTGGCTGATTTTTAGTAGAGATAGGGTTTCACCATGTTGGCCAGGCTGGTCTCGAACTCTTGACCTCAAGTGATCTGTCCACCTCGGCCTCCAAAAGTGCTAGGATTATAGGCTTGAGGTACCACGCTCAGCCTAGCTTTTTTTATAAATAAACTTTTACTGCAACACAGCCGCCTGATTCATTTATAAATTGTCTATGGCTGCTTTAGTGCTTTAACAGCAGAGTTGAGTAGCAGTGGCAAAGACTTGAGTAGTTGCGACAGAGACCAAACGGCCTGCAAAGCCTAAAATATTTACTATCTGTTCCTTTCAGAAAAAGTTTGCTAGACTTTGCTTTTAAGAGTACATTTTCTGAGGGCCTACCTGCACAATACTATATTAGATACTATGGAGGGAATAAAAAGGACTATGACACAATAACTGTTAACAATATTAAGCTTATGTGTAATTCAAGAATGATTCAATCTTTAAAAAGAACTTCTTGGGGTTTGACTCTTCTGTAAATTAAAAGAGCCCGAGACATTAGCAACAAAAGCTTTTTGCAATGTGTAAAACTTGTTTGGATCCTGTTTTCAACAAACCAACTATAAACAAAAAAACAATTATTGGACTCAACGAGAGTTGAACAAACCAGATATTTGGTGGTATTAAAAATTATCGGCTGAGCGCAGTGGCCCACGCCTGTAATCCCAGCACTTTGGGAGGCTGAGGTGGGCGGATCACGAGGTCAGGAGATCAAGACCATCCTGGCTAACATGGTGAAACCCCGTCTCTACTAAAAATACAAAAAATTAGCTGGGCATGGTGGGGGGCACCTGTAGTCCCAGCTACTTGGGAGGCTGAGGCAGGAGAATGGCGTGAACCCAGGAGGCGGAGCTTGCAGTGAGAGGAGATCGCGCCACTGCACTCCAACCTGGGCAACAGAGTGAAACTACGTCTTTTAAAAAAAAAATTATTAATTGGCCGGGCGTGGTGGCTTACACCTGTAATCCCAGCACTTTCGGAGGCCAAGGCGGGTAGATTACGAGGTCAGGAGTTTGAGACCAGCCTGGCCAATATAGTGAAACCCTGTCTCTACTAATAATAGAAAAAAAATTAGCCAGGGGTGGTGGCGCGCACTTGTAGTCCCAGCTACTCGGGAGGCTGAGGCAGGAGAATCACTTGAACCCGGGAGGCAGAGGTTGCAGTGAGCCAAGATCATGCCACTGCATTCCAGCCTGGGTGACAGAGCAAGACTCCATCTCAGAAAGAAAAAAAATTTATCATTAATTGGCTGGGTGCGGTGGCTCATGCCTGTAATCCCAGCACTTTGGGAGGCTGAGGTGGGAGGATCATGAGGTCAGGAGATCGAGACCATCCTGGCTAACACGGTGAAACCCCGTCTCTACTAAAAAAAATACAAAAAAATTAGCCAGGCGTGGTGGCGGGTGCCTGTAGTCCCAGCTACTTGGGAGGCTGAGGCAGGAGTATGGCGTGAACTCGGGAGGCAGAGGTTGCAGTGAGCCGAAATCGTGCCACTGCACTCCAGCCTGGGTGAGAGAGTGACTCCGTCTCAAAAAAAAAAAGTTATCTGAGATATAATCTGAAATAATCCAGGATGGGAGTTATGGATAGAATACATATGAAACAACAGTGGCCACGAGTTGATGAATGACTAGGTAGAATATGGGGGTTCAGAGTACTACTATCCTCTCAATTTTTAAGTTTGAAATTTTTGGTAATTAAAAGTAAAACACACACACACAAAGTCCTTTTGCAAGACAAATACCAAAGATAAACTAGCCACTGTCTTTTGAAGAAAGTGGTATGAAAATCAGGTGACAAAGATAAGGATCTAGGAAAAAACCACAAGAGCCCTCCTTCTAAAGAATCATCAATGGCAGTCAAATCACACTGGATATTGTCATCAGAACCTAAATAAAGATAATAGTAAGTAAGTTTCATATGGAGAAAAGACTGAATTTGTCTGAACTTCACTAGTAAATGTTTACCAAGGTTCTTCTGAAAACGTAATGGATGACAGTGGTGCATAACAGAAACATACAATTCTTTAAAAGGTTTTATAATGTAATATGTACAAAAGAATATATATGTGAACCCATTACCCAACTTAGGAACTAGAATATTGCCAAAACTGATTAGCCAACTATATGCTTCTTCTGGATTCCATCTCTCTGCCTCCACCCCATCCCCCACCCCAGAGGTGGCCTTTATTCTCAAAATTATATTACCTTTATCTTCTTTTTATACAAACACACAGTTTTACCACAAATTATTAAAAAATATATTGACCACCATATTGGATTTAGTATCCTGAAACATACTTTTTCAAAAAAATCTGAACATTCATGGAAGATTCTATAGAGCACAGATTACTAGCTTTTGAGTTAAACTTGGTGTACCCTAGCTCTTGTCACTTTCTAGGTACGTGATCTTGGGGAAATTATTTCCCCATCAAGTTCAGCTTCCTCTTTTATAAGTGAAATAACACCTGTTTCAAAAGACTGTTATGAGGATTAGAACAATATACAAAAAGCACTGTTACTGGTATATAGCAGGTGCTCATAAATGGTAGCTAATGTTGCTTAATGTTAAGCATGGCTTATAAAGATGCGGCAAATTAAATCCTTTTACTTAACAGAAAATATTATCTTGTTATCAAGCATTTCCTTTATATACGGCCGTTAGAAAACTCCTTAGAGATCAGTCTATGCATGGTCAATCTCCACAGCTATCACCAGAAAGAAGTAATGTTCATCTGATCTTTTTTTGACTTTGCACTCACAGGTTTACAGAGGCAACTATGTCACATGGACGCTGTTCACCAGCAAAGAGTCTAATCCATCAAACCATTTATTCTAGGTAATTGAAAATCTGACAAGGTCAATTCTGATGAGATGAGAATTCATGTTTGCACTCAGAGGTAAAAGACTATAGCATTCTGCTTTCCTGAAACCGACTGAGGCTTCCACGGTCTTCTCAAACATTCCCCTGTGTGTCCCAGCTCTACACATGGAAGGCAGAAAGAACACAGTAATGAATGCTAGCTCTGGACCTTGGCTCTGCTGCTTACTGCCTGACAATGCAAGTGCTAAAGTTCTCTAATATTAATTTCATCATCAGTAAAATGGAGATAACAAAAACTTATCCTTATATTAATAGATAATTATAGTCTTGATTGTGGCTCTAAGATAGTTCCAATGGAGATCACTGATCTAGTATTAATTTCTTGAACTTTTATCTTTCTCGAAATGCTCTAGATGCCTGAATTTAAAAGTGTGACTAGATCATGAAGTGAAGAACTTCTCTAAAATGGTTTTTGCTGTTAATATTCCTTTAACACATAATGCTTTGGGTATTAACTCAGGTGTTAAAAAGAGCTATTTTATTTTTCAAGGAAGGAATAAGCACATCTGGCAGAAGAAAACTGCTAAGAGAAATCCTGAGGTGGGGGGCTCCTTAGCATGAAGGTACAATGAATAGGGATAACTGAAGTGAAGGCAAAGTCAATATTAAGAGAGGAACAAGATGGGAAGTGTAAAAGCACTGAGAATTCATGCAGACGTACACTGCAGTCAGGCTGCCATTTCATATGCTACATCATACAGCAACTTTATCAATGCAACCTAGTGGAGCTGACATGAGGAAATGTTCCACAGAAAAGTTGAACAAAAGTTGTTAGAAGACAACTGAAGGCCGGGTGCGGTGGCTCATGCCTGTAATCCCAGCACTTCAGGAGGCCAAGGCAGATGGATCACGAAGTCAGGAGTTCAAGACCAGCCTGGCCAAGATAGTGAAACCCCGCCTCTACTAAAAATACAGGCGTGGTGGCACCTGCCTGTAATCCCAGCTACTTGGGAGGCTGAGGGAGAGAACTGCTTAAACCGAGGAGGCAGAGGTTGCAGTGAGCCGAGATCGCACCAATGCACTCCAGCCTGGGCGACAGAGCGAGAATCCATCTCTAAAAAACAAACAAACAAACAAAAAAAGAAGACAACTGAGACCACAGGGGTTGCAGAGAGGAGCTCCTACATTATTAATCCCAGAGGAGTAAAATGCATGCAGTGTAACGTAAGTCTGGGGTGGAAACACTGGTCTACAAGTTCATTCAGTAGCTAAGAGTATGTACGTCAGTACTGTGGGCATTCAAATAAGATAATGTCCTCTCCAGAAAACACTGAACAGTTCTAGGGTGAAGCCGACTAAAGAAGAATCTACTTTATAGCTGATAAGACCTAGTGCCCAGAATCTGTTCCAAAACATCCTTCCTTAAATGTCTTTGCATTTTGTTTTATAAGCTGCTCCTGTCACTTTGGTTTCCTCTGTCAAAAAATATTCCCACAGCAAGGAAAAAGAATTAAGTACATTTTGTATTATTTGTGAAAGTTAAAAACTATAAGCAATGTCATGAATATAAATAATTTCAAACGGCATGTTAGATGACGTTTATGATGTAATACGGGGGGGCGGCAAATATAAAAACAGGAGACAGATATAGATAGATAGACAGATAGACAGACAGACAGACAGACAGACAAACATCAGCAGAATCCCAGATATGTATCAGCCGAATCCTAATACTGGGAGGGAAAGTGCTTGCTCTTGCAACCTACCAGAAAGAATAAATATAGCAAAATACATGTATTTCACTCGTTGGTTTCATTTCTATTACTTTTCTATTCAGTGGAAGAAGGTACCTTTTTAAATTCCCAGTTGCTCTGGAGATACATCCCAGTTCCTTTAAACCTAATACTTTGGGCATCCAGCCCCTGCTGACCCCCGGTGACCAGGCCGCACCTCCTCTTCATTCTATCTCTAGCTTCTTCATCCAGTCAGCAATAGCAATGCTTTTTTTTTTTTTTTTTTTTTTTACAGGAATGGAACAGCATGGAGGCAATGACTTCTTTATCCTTTCTACTTGCTGCCCACCCACCCTCTCAATTCCACATGGATTTGAATACTCTTTTCCCCACATCAGTGCCACTTCTGTTCACACCGATTAGACCTTTCTGCAGGATCAGCACTGCTTCTACTTCAAGAAATAAAAGCTTTGGCAGTGTTCACACAAGAAGGGGGCTGCTGGCCCAGGCTGCATAAATCTGGAAATTTTGTGAGAACTGACGGGTGAGTGAAACAAACCCTGGAAAGCACCTTCGAGGCAAAAAGTAAATCACTTATAAAGAACTTGTATAAACTATAAGAACAATACTGAGATCCCAACAGACACTGAGGCAAACTTCAGAGAATTCTTCTTCGAAGAAGAAATATAAATTGACTTTTTAAAAAACAAAAAATGTCAACTTCACTACTAATCAAAGAAACATGAAGTACAATGAAATGCCATTGGTTACTATCTATTACTATGCCATATATTTTTTAAAAGAATATCCCTCAGTATTTGGAGGCAAAAGGAATGCTCTCATAAGCTACTGGTAACTTTATACATATAATCTAGTAATTACACTTTTAGTAATCCATATTAAAGAACTACATTACAAGGCTCATTGCTAGTTTAGATTTTTTTTTTTTTCTTTTTTTGAGACAGGGTCTTGCTCAGTCACTCAGGCTGGAGTGGAGTGGTGCAATCACAATCACAGCTCACTGTAGCCTCCAACTCCTGGGCTCAAGTGATCTTCCCACCTCAGCCTCCGAAGTAACTGGGACTACAGGCATGTACCACCACACAAAGCTAATTTTTTATTTTTTGCAGAGATAGTGTCTTCCTATGTTGCTCAGGCTGGTCTTGAACTCCTGGCTTTAACTGATCCTCCCACCTCAGCGTCCCAATGTGCTTGGATTACAGGTGTGAACTACCATGACTGACCCTAGATGTTTATCTTTAATAGAAAAAAAAATAGGTTAAAAAAAGTCATGCCCAATATTAGGGGAACAATTAAGCAAGAAGCCCTCCCTTACTCCACCAATCACCAATCAGATTTAATACCTTCCTTTGTGGGTGGTTAGTGCTTACATCTTAGCATTTCGACTGAGTTGTACTATACATAGTCATACCCAAGTCTGTTTCCCTTGCTGGACTGTAAACTCTCTGAGTATAAATTTGAGATCCTATTCAGATCTGTATTATATCCCTTACCATCTTTTGGGTCTTTTAGGCCCCTCCTCCCTACCCTCAGCATCCAGCACAATATTTCACTAACAGCAGGATATGAAAAAATCTTAAGGTGAACCACTATAAAAAGCAATTAATCAATGACTTTAGAGATAAAATAATTTTATATAGAAAAAGACATATAAACACTTTAGAGGTATGAACAAACACTAAATTTAGAACTGCCTTAATTCAACCATAATTTAGAATAAGCTCAAATTCCATGAGAATGCAGGAATGAGTATTAGATCAAAGGAGTCAGAGTAAGCAGTCATGTCCCTTTACGTTTTCTCCGTCTTCCTGCCTCAAACATACATGAGAAGCCTAGAGATGCAACGGGTATCTTGAAACCGTGAATCAAGCCACAAGTTTATGACTGTAGCACCAAAGGCAAAAGCCTGATCCTCAATTATGTCAATGAGCCAACTGCCTCACTCTGGACTTGTGACGTGAGGAGAAAGAAATCCCACGTGTTAAACCCACTGTTAATGATGTTTTCTGTTATTGTGACTTACAGAATTTTCTGACAGATACTAACAGAATTTCTCATAGTTAGTAAAAGGGTTTTCCTTTACTTGTTCTGACTTGTACCCATCTACTTGGTTACAGTGACTACACCGTAAGTGGACACTTCAATCAAGAAAGGCCTATCAGAGTCTTCCTCTAGACTAACCTATGGTCTGAGGGAAAAAAAAATTCTTTCTTTCCATTAAAAGCTATGGCTGCTGGCAGCCATTTTGCTTGTCCCTTAAGAAGAGGCCATCTGTTGAACAGAGACCACTGGATTCAAAGATGGAGAGACATTATCTGAGCTCCCAGATCCAGCTCAGCCTAAGCCCTAACCAGACTTGCCAATTATTACACACATTAACTTGGTTTTTTTGCTTAAGGTTACTGAAATCATATTTCCAACACCTGCATCCAAGAGTCCTATATACCACAAGGGGGGTAAACACACAAATAATTATTTTAGTAACACTCACCAATAATTATTTGAGTTGAAAAAAATGCTGTTCCATAATGTAGACCCACATAATTCATACAAATGTTAACCCACATGATTCAAGTTACATTTGTCATTCTCCAACTGCCCACCATTTCCTTTCATAATGCCCACACTATAACTACACTGAATTGCTTGTTCTTTCCTACACACTCTTCACATTTTTCTATTTATGTGATTTTAGCCTACCGTTCTCTTACATTAATACCCTCCCCTCTCAATCTCTAATTGTATTTCCTCTGAAACACTACAGTATTTTTATTTGTATGTCCCTTAGTAGTTCTGACCTTGCATTACAGTTATGCATGTTCATGTCTTATCTACCTAATTGAACTGAAATGTCAGTGAGATCAGGGCCCATATTTGATTTGTATATATCCCCACAGGTCAGTCTGTCCCCAAAATCCTTATTACTTCTATGAAACCTAGGCTATTTCACAATTGTCAATATCTCAGTAGCTACGTACCAGTAGCAATGCAGCAATATACTTAATTATCCTGGGTACCACAAAGGCCACATTAATATAAGTGAGAAGACTGGACAGGGTACAAATTACATTTAGGTAGGCATATATAGAACAGAACAAGTCCCAACTTTGTCTAATTTAAGAAATAAGTTTTACTTAGAGATACTGAGGTCTTACACATTTTTGCTTAGTCACAAGTCAAGCCTATTTTAGGCCTTGGTCCTTCTCTGTTAACTCTCAGGCATATCTATAATAAGAATTCCTACCTCCTCCTACCTACCCACCCATCCACCATTATTTTTCCAGGAGATATCCCCGAAGAGAAAGTCCACTCCTAGCAGTATCCTGACTCTAAGCCACACCCTCTATCTAGACTCAAAGTGTATACAGTTAATGCCTTCAGCTTCCCTAACTCTCCTATAATCTATTTCTCCCTAACTTATTCTTACCCCTTTGACTCTTATGCTTTGCCTTTCTTCTTTTCCTTAGTTCTACCCAACTAGTGGCTTATCTTTTATGTCTCACCATCACACAGAAACACAGACCTCAGAAAGACTACACAGATAGGAAAGCACAGTCAATAATAATAGCAGCCACCATTTATTGCATACCTATTACATGCTAGTCACAATGCCTGGTACTTTACAAAGTGTCTGTGATTCTCATGGCAATCCTCATACTAATTTTACAAATGAGGAACCTGATCCTGAAAGAGATAACTTGTCAAATATTAGCCAGTTAGGAAATATTACAGCTGAGCTGCCTAGTTCTAAAACTGACATTTCTTCTACTTTATCATAGTGCCAAAAACAAAATATTGACTCTATTTTCCCAGCTTTCACCCTTGTCCCACAACCCAGTAATCTACTGTCCACATAGTAGCAACCAGAGTGGAGTGATCCTTTGCTTAAATATTATTCTTTGCTCAAGTCCCTCCAGTGGTTCCTCCCTTGCTCAAGGAAAAGCCAAAGTCCTTATTATGGCCTAAGAACCCTGTGCTCTGTCCATCTGCACTCCTCCCCGTTACCTCTCTGGTTTCACTGTTTATCTCTCCCTTACTTACTCTAATCCAGCCACATTCAACCTGTTCACACCTCAGGGTTTTTGCATTTATTGTTCCTTCTACCTGTAGCACTCTCCCCACCTCACAATCTTCTTAGTTTATTCCCTCACTTACTCTAGGCCCCTGTTCAAATGTCATCTTCTCAAGGAGACCTTCCCTGATCACCTATTTTATATTGCTACCTCCTGAGACCTCGGTATTCCCTATTCCCCTCTCCCTCTGCTTTACTTTTTTCTCTAAAGTACTTATCACCACTTGAAATATTGTATATTTACTGTTTTCTTGTCTGCCTCCCACTACTAGAAAATAAGCTCCATGAGAACAGGGACTTATATTCTGTTAATTGTATATTCTGCTCACTGTATCTGTTATATAGTAGGTATACAATAAATACGTATTGAATGAGTAAATGGGGGCTTTTATTCTCCCTAGGTGTCTAACACAATTGGCCTTAGATACATTTTCCAGAAAGTAAATGCAAAGGCAACGTGCATTTGTTCTAGTCTAGATCAACGTAGTCAATCTTCTCCCCTCAAACATTACCTTTAAAGAGCATTCCCTCGGCCAGGTGCGGTGGCTCACGCCTGTAATCTCAGCACTTAGGGAGGCCGAGGTGGGCAGATCATGAGTCAGGAGATCGAGACCATCCTGGCTAACATGGTGAAACCCCATCTCTGCTAAAAATACAAAAAATTAGCCGAGCGTGGTAGCAGGCGCCTGTAGTCCCAGCTACTCGGGAGACTGAGACAGGAGAATGGCATGAACCTGGAGGCAAAGCTTGCAGGAGCCGAGATCGTGCCACTGCACTCCAGCCTGGGCGACAGAGCAAGACTCTGTCTCAAAAAATAAAAATAAAAAAAGAAACAAAAGCATTCCCTCTAATTTTTCATAGTTCTGAATAGACAACGTCATTGAGCAAAAAACTGAGTAGACTGAGCCAACTTAACCAGTGCGTAGTATTATAATCAAAACTTACAGCAAAGTTAGTCAGACATATATTTAATGATATGCATAATTGTTATTGTGCTGCACGGTAAGTAGGCATAAATAGTAGACACTTTATGTAAATGATTCTAATTGCTATTTCTTTTACACAGCCAAACCAAGCACGTCTAGGATCCGCTTCAGGGGAAGACAGGAAGGAGTGAAAAGCTAGATACTTAATACTGGGAGGTTACGTCCTCTCTTATTCCACCCCTTAAGCATTGGGCTAATGGTCTCCCAGCTTGGCTTATGTGTCTTCAAGAAAAGTAACTTGCCAGGCATGGTGGCCTAGGCCTATAATCCCAGCACTTTGGGAGGCCAACGCAGGAGAATCACTTGAGCCCAGGAGTTCAAGACCAGCCTAAGCAGCATAAAAAGACTCCATCTCTACAAAAAATAAAAAATTAGCCAGGCGTGATGGCATGCACCTGTGGTCCCAGCTACTCGGGAGGCTGAGGCAGAAGGATCACTTGAGCCTGGGAGGTTGAGGCTGCAGTGAGCCATGATTCCACCACTGCCCTCCAGCCTGGGCTACAGAGTAAGACCCTGTCTCAAAAAAAAAAAAAAAAAAAAAAAGGGAAAATTACTTCTTTCCTTCCACAGTAAAAAAAAAAAAAGGCTTCCTTTTACAAAAGATTTTAAAACTAGGTTGGGAGCCTGGCCTCTGTCTCCAGTCATATAAAGCTAAGAGGAACCAGCACAATCACTAACTTCTGTCTCTGGCAAGGAAGATGGGGCAGGCAAGCTGGTGGGGAAACCAAGTAAAGAGATCAAACGTACTGAGTACCTATTGTACACCAAGTACACTAGCAGGTGCTCTGCATAATTCCTCTACTTCCCCAACCCACCTATACCCCCAAGCTCTGTTCCCAGGAAAGTAGAGGAACATGCAGAGAGTAGAATGGTTCCAGTGAGGGCACCCTGCTCCCTCTCATAGGGCCTGAAAAATCAACAGAGAGCTCTCTTAGGAAGATTAAGACGAAGCTATTGTTTAGTGGCCATTTCCCTTGCTTCTTATCTTATCTAAACCCATAGGAGGGGAAAGGGCCCTCTACCTTGCTATGGGTTTATCCAGACCTAACCAGCCTGCAAAGCCAAGGCTAAGCCCACTCTTTCTGGGATCTCATCCTTATTCACTGCAGCTCTCCTTTCTCCCATTGTCAGGGACATTTACTTGGGTACACAATTATTCACTTGTGTCATCTTTTAATTAATTTCTTGGGGAAATGCTTATTTCACCATTGATAATGCAAGCTCCTTGAAGAGAGAAATCTTAAAACTTCTTTAGTAAGCTTCATAAGGCCTAGCACCATTTAAAAAAAAAAAAAGTGCAATGCCAGGCAAGGTGGCTCACACCTGTAATCCCAACACTTTAGGAGGCCAAGGCGGGATGCCTGCTTGGGCCCAGGAGTTCAAGACCAGCCTGGGCAACATGGTGAGACCCTTTCTCTACAAAAGAAAATATAAAAAACTAGCCAGGCGGGGTGGTGTGTGCCCATAGTCCCAGCTACTCATGAGGCTGAGGTTGGAGAATCACTGGAGCCCAGGAGGCAGAGGTTGCAATGAGCCGTAATTGTATCACTGTAATCCAGCCTGGGTGACAGAGTGAGATCCTGTCTCAAAAAAAAAAAAAAAAGAAAAAAAAAGAAAAGCTCCAAAATATCTGGATGAATTAAAGGTAAATATGAAGTAATAGGTGATAGAAAAGAAGCAAACTTCTGGCTCTAGGTAGACACATTGGCATTGAAAAGAAGGATGTAGTACAGTCATGTGCCACAAAAAGACATTTCAGCCAACAACGGACCATCTATATGATGGGGGTGCCATAAAATTATAATACCATATTTTTACTATACCTTTTCTGTGTTTCTATGTGTTTAGATACACAAATACCATTGTGTTACAAGTGACTACAGTGTTCGGTACAGTAACACACTGTACAGGTTTGTAGCCCAAGATCAATAGGCTATACCTTATAGCCTAGGTGTGTAGTAGACTACACCATCAAGGTTTGTGTAAGTATACTCACTCTATGATGTTTGCACAACAAAATCACTTAATGACACATTTCTCAGAACACATCCCCATCACTGAGCAACACGTGACTATATTCTAAATTTGTCTTCTAAACTAGTTTTTATAACAAATTTCCCTATGAAAAAGAAAGTGTGACTGTCATTCAGGATATAGCAGACATCTTCACATGGAGGTCTGGGGTATTCGCATCAAAGCTATAAAGACATATGATGCCGAGAATACAGGGACTTTCTATTATATCAAAAAGCACATTTACATCTATCATGTCTGAAAGTCTGCGATATCCAGAGTGTAAATCCAACTGAACAGCATTAGACGGGGTCACTGATCCTGGACACAGCAGAACAAGGAGAACGTGAAATGTCCTCCCTGAATGGATGATGATGATGATAAGACTCAGTCTATTTTGCCCACCTAAATGGCCTGGTTCTAGTGGCATAAGTCTGAAAATTGGTTTGAGAAAATTCAGGAACAAGCCTGAATCAATTTCAACCACAAGGATTTGGGGATGTGAGTTTGAGTTCTCTCACCACACTCCAGTAAGGAAGACCGGCTTAACAGCAATTATCTTGTAATTAAACGATATCTGACAGTTATAAATGCCAAAGCTTCCTATTTTAGCACCAACTAGTGGAATTCAGTAAGGGAGATGTCAGTAGAAGCTATCCTATACTACTCCTTACCTGATCATTCTGACCTGAAGGAGGTCATATATTCCTAGAGCTCAATGGGGCATTCAGTTTCTCAAACTCATTTATTTCTGGACCTTGATGTTGTATTGAATAAGTCATTGACTCAGATACCCAATACCAGCTGTGTAAGTGCTTAGTAAGACAGACAAGATAGTCTCTTTCCTTTGAAATGCTCAGCCCCAGAATTCTTTTAGTCACTGGAACACTCAGCTAAAAAAAAAACAATCAGACTAAAGAGCTTTGTCAAATTAAAACTGCATCTAGATTGCAGTCCTTCAGTGCTCTGCCACTAAAAGTGGTTGATAGCCAGATTTAGGTCCTCAACTTTCATTGTCTTTAGGGACTACAATGCTATGCATAGAGACCCTTAAAAAAAAATCTCTGACATAGTAATTTCACTACTGGGAATGGTAACAACAGCTAATAGTTCTTATGTATTTACTATGTGCTAGGTACCGTGTTAAGTACTTTCCTTAAAACACCTCATTTAACCTCACAAAAACTGAACAAGGTAATTATTATTATTTCACAGATGCATAAAGGGAAGCTTGGAAATTAGCACAGGGTCACACACTAGTAAGTCAGTAACAGAGGTGGGACTCAAGCTCAAACTGACTGGCCCTCCAGAGCCTACCTTACTGTCACCCTATATGGGAACATATCCTTGGGAAATAATCCCAAAATACAGCGACAATTTTAGGCTAAGAGGCTCAGTACTGTGTGATTATAACGCAGTAACTTGAAGCATTTCAAATATGTAATAATTAAGTAAATGACAGCAATCCAGGTTACCAAATATTATGTAGGCATTAGAAATATTTTTATAAATAACTTTGTGACATGATGAAATATTTACACTATAAACAGAAAAAGCAGAATATAAAATTTTACAGTCAGACCTCAACTACGTCAAAAATTTATCTGCACATTGAAAGAGCTAAATTTACTGCTAAATAAAAAAGACAAGTTGCAGAATAATATATAGAGAGAGCTATATATAGCATGGTCCCGTTTATGTAAATAGTGCCTAATTTTAAGTATTCAATAAATGTAAGCCATTATTATTACAATGAACATGTACTACTTTATAATCAGAAAAATCAACAAATTTATTAAATTAAGTGTTTATGTACTTCCTTATTTAATAACTAAAAAGTATATTACTTCAAGAAAAGTAAATAACATGTGCTTGCCTCTCTGGCAATCTTAATTTAAAAAACACTTCATAATTATACAATGTCACATTTAAATACACCTAAGTTACAGGAATCAAGTAGCACTGAGAAGAACACTGCAACACTTCCAATTACCTAGGTTTACATTCAGCATGTTAGACCACAGAGAGCTGTGCTGACATGACTATATTTAGAGTTTAAAATCATAAACAGGCCAAATCAGAGGTGGTATTTCAAGGGCTGTGATTAACAAGATTTTCTTGATCAATGTCTTATGCTGTCTGAAAAGTAGGGATTTTGGTACAGACTTTTTTTTTTTTGAGATGAAGTTTCACTCTTGTTGCCCAGGCTGGAGTGCAATGGCACGATCTCGGCTCATTACAACCTCTGCCTCCCGGGTTCAAGCAATTCTCCTGACTCAGCCTCCTGAGTAGCTGGGATTACAGGAGCCCGGCACCACGCCTGGTTAATTTTTTGTATTTTTAGTAGAGACAGGGTTTCACCACGTTGACCAGGCTGGTCTCGAACTCCTGACCTCAGGTGACCCACCCGCCTCAGCCTCCCAAAGGGATTACAGGCATGAACCACCGCGCCCAGCCTCTGGTACACTCTTAAAGAGATAAACCAACAGCTCCTCGGTAACTCAGCAGAGATATGATATGTAGGACATGAATGTAAATTAGTGATATTTTTCAGCTGCTGTCTCTAGGTAAAATTTCTATTAAAACAAACTACAAAAAGAGGGAAAAAACCTACAAGGGGTTTATTCTGAATGAAAAACGTGGAACTTAGTTCAAGTTCCACAGGAATCTCAATATTTGAATACATAAGTTGAAATGCAAGGTCCACTGCACTGCACTGATTTCTAGCCTACCTATGTAAAAGAATAAGTTAATACGTTAAAAGATGGGCCAGGTGCAGGCTGGGCGTGGTGGCTTACACCTGTAATCCCAACACTTTGGGAGGCCGAGGCAGGTGGATCACGAGGTCAGGAGATGGAGACCATCATGGCTAATATGGTGAAACCCCATCTCTACTAAAAAAAAAATACAAAAATTAGCTGGGCATGGTGGCAGGCACCTGTAGTCCCAGCTACTCGGGAGGCTGAGGCAGGAGAATGGTGTGAACCCAGGAGGCGGAGCTTTCAGTGAGCCAAGATCGCACCACTGCACTCCAGCCTGGGCGACAGAGCGAGACTCCGTCTTAAAAAAAAAAAAAAAAAAAAAAGGTTGGGCCAGGTGCAGTGGGTCACACCTGTAATCTCAGCACTTTGGGAGGCCAAGGCAGAAGAATCACTTGAGGTCATGAGTTCGAGAGCAGCCTGGCCAACATGGCGAAACCCTGTCTCTACTGAAAAAAAGTACAAAAAAAATTAGCCAGGCATGGTGGCGCAAGCCTGTAGTCCCAGCTACTTGGGAGGCTAAGGCGTGAGAATCGTTTGAACCTGGGAGGCGGAGGTTGCAGAAAGCCAAGATCGCGCCACTGCAATCCAGCATGGGTGACAGAGACTCTGGCTCAAAAAACAAACAGAACAAACAAACAAACAAAAACATTAAAAAATGAAAGACTTTTCCCTTCCCCTTCTCCTGAGGCATGTGTAACAGGACAAAATACCTGCTAAAAGTAATGATGAACATAAAAGTACTAGAAAAATAACTAGATAGAAAAAACCCAAGACCAACAACAACTTTAACTTTGAAGAACAGCTATGTTTTTTCCCTGCATTGTAATGTATAGGATTATAAAACCACCACACAAAAAAGTAAGAGTTTGGCTGTCCTGCTGGGTCTTTACCTGTATCTTCCTCCATCAGACCATTGCAGTACATGGCATGTCGTTCAATCTTTGTGGGTGGAAAGCATTGGTCACATAGCGGGCAGGATACCTGGTTACTGGATGAGAAGGTAGAAATAGCTACTTCCTTCTCAGCATCTTCCTTGTTACCAACCTGAAGAACATGACAAACAGCAATCATAACAGCTTTAGTTCATATCATTCCCTACAACGAACTGCAAGAGACTCCACCCCATATTTCACTTACTTTCAAAGAGACAACAACAGCTTATCAAATTCAGGAGTAAAGATTGAGAGATACTACTGATAGAGTCAATACTTATTCAGTGCCTTATACTGCCAACTATGTATTAAACACTCTACATGTATTACTCGTTTATCAGTAAGTTTATATATTACTCATTTATATGTAAGTATATTTATACTGACAACTATGTATTAAACACTCTATATGTATTACTCATTTAATCTTACAAAGTTATTAGCACACTCCTTTTGTACACGTGAGAAAAGTACTTGTGTAAAACAGTAAAGCAATTTGCAAAGTCACAGAACAAGTAAGTGGGAGTGTTGAGATTCAAATGAAGGACTAGAATCTGCCTCAAAAACTTGAGGGCACTGATCTCTACCACATTGTAAGGCACAATCCTCATTGCATCAGTGTGCTGTGCCTGCTGGGTTTCACATTTTGCATATCAACAGCACCTTAAGGACACATTTTCAATTTCACAAAAGGACTGTTATTACTGTAAGTGACTTTAAGACATAAGGAGTTAGAAAACAAAAGAGCTCTAAGCCAAAAACAGCACAACTAGGATTTAAGTTAAGAACATAAGTCTGTACTTAGACCCATAAGACCTAAGACCTGTGTTTTATTTGTGACTTTCTGGATTGAAAGAGGAAACTAAGATCTACATACTTAAGAAGCACCAAATAATTCATTAGTTAAAATAATCAATTCTGCCAAAGCCACTCTTAAACCTATCTCTTATTCCTCTGTTTTGTAGTCATCATTTCTCCTACAGTTGCTGGTATCTCTTAAAGGCAGTTTTATTTTACCTACACAGGTTGATCAGAGCCAAGAACTCTGCAGTGATTAATTCAACAGTGTGTGTGAGCACTGCAGCACTACTGCCTAACACTTGCTTCAAAGGACAGCATGTCCTATCCAATCAATGTGAAAACATCCTGCATAGCTACTGCTTACATTTAAAGCAAGGGACACCCGGGCTGTCATTACACCTTACTACATGAGGAAAACAAATAAAATATCTTCTGATACAAGAACAAAACACGACCAAAACTTCAATGCATAGAAAATGTGACTTCTGAGTCAACTGGGTCTTTTGGGGTAAGAGGTTGGGGCTATCTCTAAAACCTAATGCTTATAAGTGTGATCCAGCAGAGATGAAAACAGGCCATCTAAATACCAAGTCAAACTGCCAGAAAATGTCCTGTTTTCAACATCACCTGCCTTTTATTAAAAGACATACTCTAAAGGCGTAAAACCTAAAAGATGAGAAAGGAACTAACAGTGGTTGAGTTCTTACACTATGCAGGCTCCACCAGTCATTTTCCATATCCATCCCTCCCAACAAGCCGCTGGACAGAAGTATCACTAGTTCTGCTATTACAGAAGGGGAAACTGAGGCTTGGAAAAGCAAAGTAACTTGCTGGTCACAAAGTTACTAAGTGAACAAACCCAGGCCCACTTGGCATCAAAACCTTCAGTAATTCCATTCTATCATGTTGTGGCAGAAATAAAAAGCCTCTTCCCATTCCACCTTGTTTCTGGAAGCGGATCCTGCAAGGAATTAAGAAACTATCAGGTTCTATTTATTCTTCTTCTCTACAAGGTGGGGAAAGTCAAGTGGGTCTGGAAGTTCTAGGTGCTATGTTTTCCAAATTTAATCACTAAGCTCCTCACAAATCCAGGTTCCTCTGTTCATAAATCTTAAAACGAAAAGTTGTAAAGCTTAAAAATTGCAAAGCTGGCCAGGCACAGTGGCTCACATCTGTAATCCCAGCACTTTGGAGGCCAAGGCATGTAGGGAGACTCCCTGAAACTATTGCTATGGAATTAAAGATGAAATGCTCCTGATTATTGTAAATACAAAATTGCACGCAGGATCGTGTAAAGACAATGCCAGGTTGGACTGCTAGAACGAGTCAACAGCGCGTGATGTGCTTCCCCCTGTAGAGAGCCTATGAATGGACGTGCAGTCAGGGAGGTTTCACATCACCAAGATTCCTATCCCAGAAAAAGATGTTCATAGCTCTGGGAATGGAATGCGACCCTTGTGGGGAGCCTATAAACAGACGCATGGGTGGGCGCCTGTCCATATGGATAAGATAGGGCTATAAACGCCCTCATCTTGCCACAGCTCCGCTAGGCCTCTTTAGGGTTAAGCCATACTCCCTTCTGAGAATTTCTGGTCTAACCAGTTGTCTAGCTTCACGTCCTGTTTCCATGGATTGTTTGTAACCAGCTTTTGTTGCAATTGTTACTGCTGATTAATATCTTGCTAATCATAGGTTATGGAAAGATTGTGTTTCTGTTTTAAGGCTCTGTTAGAAATTACTGAGGAACATACTATATTGTAAATTCTTATCTCTGTATACTATACTTCTACATAGAAATGTACTGTACTTCTACATACAAATGTTATGTTAAAGAATTACTTCATCCCCATGTGACCATCTCACCTCATAATCAAATGGCCCTAAATCCCTCACTAACCTACCCCTGCCCTCACTAAACTTAATAATAAATGCTGGTATATTCAGTGCATTGTTGGCACCCCAGGACCAGAAGGCAGTGACCCGCCCCGGACCCAGCTTTCACTATCTTGTGTGTGTCTATTATTTCTCAACCTGCCGATCTGCCTAGGAACAAAGAGAGAGCCCCGATGCATTGCGGGCTGCTGGCCAGATCCCACAATAAAGGCAGGCAGATCACAGGAGGCCAGGAGTTCAAAACCACCCTGACCAACATAGCGAAACCCCATCTCTACTGAAAATACAAAAATTAGCTGGGCGTGGTGGCACGCACCTATAATCCCAGCTATTCAGGAGGCTGAGGCAGGAGAATCACTTAAACCTGGGAGGCGGAGGCTGCAGTGAGCCGAGATCCCGCCACTGCACTCCAGCCTGGGTGACAGAGCAAAACTCTGCCTCCAAAAAAAAAGGAAAGAAAGAAAAGAAAACAAAAGAAAAATCACCAGGTGCGATGGCTCACGCTTATAATCCCAGCACTTTGGGAGGCCAAGCCGAATGGATCACTTGAGGTCAAGAGTTTGAGACCAGCCTGGCTAATGTGGCAAAACCCTGTCTCTACTGAAAATACAAAAATTAGCCAGGGGTGGTGGCGCATGTCTGTAGTCCCAGCTACTTAGGTGGTTGAGGCAGGATAATCGCTTGAACCCAAGAGGTGGAGGTTCCAGTGAGCCGAGATCCTACCACTGCACTCCAGCCTAGGCAACAGAGGGAGACCCGGCCTCAAAAAAGAAAAGACAAATAGCAAAGCCATTTGAGCAGAAGGATGGCAGGGGGGTAAAGGGGATCAATATACCCTAAAATTTGCAAGTAGTCTTTAATTACTTAAAGTTGGTGGTGAATGGGCAGTTACTTGGCCTTCTAAAGTTCACTAAGCACAGAAATGTTACATGACGCAAATGTGTCACTGGTGCCCACATTGAGCACTATACTCCTTTGTATTCACCACAGCTCTATACAATGCAGAGAATGTACCTTTAACTATTAATGTATTCAAGAGGGAGTAGTCACTTGTCTTATTATGAATATAAGCCCACTTCCAACCACTGTTCATAGGCAACCCTGAAGGTTTCTGAACATTTTTATGTTAAAATAAGGTATTTTTTCCCAGCATCATTTAAAAAGTCTATTTAAGTATTAACTACTAGGGAAGAACCTCAAGGGGGAAAAAGGCAAGCAAAGCAGCTTTTATTAGGACCATGCAGTCAGGGATTTCTTTGCAGAGTTGCTTCTACTTCTTTTATATATATATATTTTTTAAGTTCTAGGGTACATGTGCACAATGTGCTGGTTTGTTACATATGTATACATGTGCCATGTTGGTGTGCTGCACCCATTAACTCATCATTTACATTAGGTGTATCTCCTAATGCTATCCCTCCCCGCTCGCCTTCTACTTCTTTTAAAATATTATACAACTATTTTTCGGCCAGGCACGGTGGCTCACGCCTGTAATCCCAGCACTTTGGGAGGCCAAGGCGGGTGGATCATGAGGTCAGGAGATGGAGACCATCCTGGCTAACACGGTGAAACCCCATCTCTACTAAAAACACAAAAAATTAGCCAGGCGTGGTGGTGGGCGCCTGTAATCCCAGCTACTCGGGAGGCTGAGGCAGGAGAATGATGTGAACCCGGGAGGTGGAGCTTGCAGAGCCGAGATTGCGCCACTGCACTCCAGCCTAGGCAACAGGGTGAGACTCCATCTCAAAAGAAAAAAAAAAAAATTATACAACTATTTTTCAAAAGAGGTACTTAGATACTGAATCTCGACATCTTAAAGGTTGTTGGTCCTTAACTTCAGACTTCAAAAAAAAAAAAATACACCTCACTTCAAGAGAAATGAACCCAGTGAAAACAAAAGCATGTCCTGCAAATCAAACTCTCCATCCCTCCCCCACCCAATTATGTGTAGCTTAGAAACCTCCTTGTTCTGGATCTTCCCCTTCTCACCACACGACTCTTAACATAGTTTACTGAAAAACTTAACTGACTAAACTAGCTCTGGAGGACTCTGAATAACTTCTATTAGCTCCTCTGAGAATAGGATATTTATCTAAGACTCCAACTAAGGGAAACTCTCAGGCAAGATATTCAGAAACACTATTTCCAAAGAAAGTTGACTATTGTCAGAAATCAAGAGGGACTACATACAGTTATGCCATGGGTACTTCCAAATACCTCAAATACTATTGAGCAATTCTCTGTCATTAGTAAACTAATAAACAGTAATATATTACAAAGCAGTAAAATAATATGACTTTCCACATGATACTTCTACTTGTGACAAATCTCTACCACGTTTTATATTCTTTATCTAATTTCACCTGCAAACCAACAGAGTAAAATAGGTATTTCTGCCTCCATTTTACATATGAAAAACTGAAATTCAGAAAAGCATTTCTCTTCTGTGCTTCCTTAATGCCCTAGGAATCCATCATTACCTTTGTCAGACCACATTATAATTATCTGTTTATATGTCTGTCTCCTCCCTTACCAGAACCCTCTGAGTGCAGGGACTGTTTTTCTTATTTATCTTTGTATCCCAAGAGTCTAAAACAATGACTGGCACAAAGTATACAAACTATAAATAGCTGCCTAGTGAATGAGTAAAGTGATTAATTTGCACAACATTCAAAACATGGTGGAGCTGGGATTTAAAGCCATGTCTTCTAATTGCAATGCTCGAGCTCCTTGTACTACACCATATCACCTTCCAGTAAACAAGAAATTTTAGGACAAATGACCTACACAGATCCCAATGGCAAGAGTCCACACCCTTTATACTATCTTTGTGCACATAAAATGTTCCATTCTGTCTAATAAGTGACTTGTAACTAGTACATGATTTAAAATCTACAGTATATCTAACTTCTTTTAATGGAAACTTTTTTTTAAAATATTTTCCTACTATATTTATTTATGTAGTCATTCTTTTAATGTGTAATCTTGGTCTAGTAGTTAAAACTCCAGTTTTCCCCTTTTTAAAAAAATTTATTTATTTATTTTTTTAAATTTTATTATTATTATACTTTAAGTTTTAGGGTACATGTGCACAATGTGCAGGTTTGTTACATATGTATACATGTGCCATGTTGGTGTGCTGCACCCTTTTAATGCAAACTTCTAAGACTGTTTAGAGACATCCACAGATATCAGCAAACAGCAACACCAAAAAGAGGACATTCAATGTGAGAAAGGCTATTATGATTCCATCTATTTGATATATAGTAGCACAGACGTGTACACCATAAATTCTAAACAGGGTTCATGCTCTTTGACCCAAAGAACAGTCTCGTCTGCAGTCATGGATGGGTATGAAATCAGCCTTAACTAAGGGCTTCTTCTGTATGTTAGGATGACTATGGTAATAATATTCTATTCCCTCATTCCCATTTAGAAGATTCTGTTTCTTCCTGAGAAAACAATCCAGAGGCCATTTTGACATTATGGAGCAGGATCTGTCGTCAGTCACTCTGCAGCAGGGAGTGTCATCATCTTTCCTACCACCACTGGCATTAGGGAATCTTGGTCAATTGTGACAGATCAGGTTCCAGAGAACCAGGCAGTGTGCATGATTCATGAAGGCAGAATATTTACCCAGTTACCTGCAGCGCAGAGACCAGGGAGAGGATCTAACTTCTATTGTAAAAACTTTTTTAAAAATCCCAGGCCGGGCACAGTGGCTCACGCCTGTAATCCCAGCACTTTGGGAGGCCTAGTGGATCACCTGAGGTCAGGAGTTTGAGACCAGCCTGGCCATCAGGGTAAAATCCCATCTCTACTAAAATACAAAAATTAGCTGGGCATGGTGGCGGGCACCTGTAATCCTAGTTACTTGGGAGGCTGAGGCATGAGAATCACTAAAACTCCGGGAGGTGGAGATTGCAGTGAGCCGAGATCGCACCACTGCACTCCAGCCTGGCAGACAAGAGCAAGACTTTGTCTCGAGGAGAAAAAATACAAAATTCCAGAATATAAAAAGGAACCTTTCTTTTTTTTTTTTTTTTTTGAGACGGAGTCTTGCTCTGTTGCCAGGCTGGAGTGCAGTGGCGCGATCTCAGCTCACTGCAACCTCCGACTCCCAGGTTCAAGCCATTCTCCTGCCTCAGCCTCCCAAATAGCTGAGACTACAGATGCGCACCACCACGCCCAGCTAATTTTTGTATTTTTAGTAGAGACATGGTTTCACCATGTTGGCCAGGATGGTCTCAATCTCTTGACCTCGTGATCCACCTGCCTCACCCTCCCAAAGTGCTCGGATTACAGGCATGAGCCACTGCGCCCGGCCAAAAAGGAACCTTTCTTACAGTGCGCAGGATAAGAAAGTATACACCAATGTAACCAAAATCTTTATTTCTACTGAGGAATTTGGCTCTCAGGTTGCTTGTGACAGCAACAGATTTTTAAGATTTAAAAATTTTTAAAGGAATTCCAGGTAAACTGTTTTGTTAGACTCAACATTAAAAATACATACTGAGGACCGGGCGCGGTGGCTCACGCCTGTAATCCCAGCACTTTGGGAGGCTAAGGTGGGCAGATCACTTGAGGTCAGGAGTTCAATACCAGCCTGGCCAACGTGGTGAAACCCCGTCTCTACTAAAAATATAAAAATTAGCTGAGCATGGTGTCGTGCACCTGTAATCCCAGCTACTCGGGTGGCTGAGGCAGGAGAAACACTTGGACCAGGAAGGCAGAGGTTGCAGTGAGCCGAGATCGTGCCACTGCCACTGCAGCCTGGGCAACAGAGTGAAACTCCATCCCAAAAAAAAGAAAAGAAAAGGAAAAATATACACACCGAGAATCTTAATCAGAAGTATGAACCTGTATCAATCAGCTTTATGGTTACTGCCAGATATGTAAAGTGAGGAAAGGTAATGATGCAAATAGATTTATTTTATCAGACAGCTATCTTGACTTTGCATTTCTGATCAAATTAGGGCTGGAAGTTATGTATACATCATAATATAAATATAGTAATTTTTTCCAAGACTGTTTGTCTCTGTTACTTATTGGTACATAATAAAAAATGCCCTGTAACTTTGGATTCAAACCCGTGTTCAAATTATATTTCTACCATTATTAGTAGTATGATTTAGAGCAAATTAAACATCCTAAGCCTCTGTTTCCCCATCTCTAATAGAAATAATAATGCATACAAAAGTACTCAAGAAATGGTAACTACTGTTATTTTTAGAAACAATGCTGAACTAATCTTAACTATAAAAATCTCTCCCTAACATAAGGGCCCCCAAAACTAAAACCCCCTGCCACCTAAATCTTTTCAGCCAATGTCAACGTTGCATCAGAGAGAGGACTGCCAACGGAAAGAAACCACTGAGAAAAAATATAGAGGAAAATATTCACCTCCTTATCTGCCATTATTATTCTGACTCCATCCAAGATATCTCTGCTACCTGGAGAGACTTCTCTTTCAAGGTCAAAAGTTTCAGAGGAACTTAGCTGGGTCTCTGTAATTTAAAAAAGTTAAAATCCCATTAATTTTCATTTTGTGTTTTCATAATTAAAAAAACAAACATGCCTATTTTCACCTAAAGTTTAGGATATGACAATACTGTGGTGGCAATATATTAATAGATCTAGTTTGTTTCTTCTTAAAGCTTTACTGAGGCATAATTTACAAATAACAGAATTCATAAATTTTCAGTATACAGTTTAATGTGTTTTGACAAATGTATACCATTTATATACTACCATTTATACCATGTAACCTCTACGATAATCAAGATATAAAACATTTCCAACACCCCAAAAAGTTCTCTGTACCCCTCTGCAGTCAATCTCCTACCTCTTTGGTCACTGCAATGAACTCTTTATAATGACCAGTTTACTTTATGTTCCTATAATTTTGTCTCTCATATAAATAGAATCACATGTCTTTTGTGTCCAGCTTCTTTTACTTAGTATAATGTGTCTGAGATGGACCCATGTCGTCACATAATATCAATAGTTCATACTTTTTGCTGCTGAGTAGCATTCCATTGTATAGATATATCACAATTTGTTTATTCATTGACCAACTGATCAACTGGCTTATTTCCACTGTAATTCTAGTTTTAAAGTATACTGATTTGACAGAAAACAAGAACCTGCCAATGTTAGTGCTGAGGTTAAAGAGATGATTAGCAAAAACAGAAATTGGGACCAGAAATAGAATATACATTCTAGACAAAGATATGCCTTTCTTTAATATATTCTTTAAGCAGCATCTATTAATTCAACAAATAATTGAACATCAAGTCCCAGGCATTATACTCGCTATCAGTAATATGAAAATCTAAGATGGGGTCCCTTGTAGTCTAGTTCAGGGGCCAGAAAACTAGATACAGCTCATGGGCCAAATCCTGTCAGCTGCCTATTTTTCTAAGTAAGGTTTTATTGGAACACAGCCATGCTCATTCATCTATGTACTGTCTATGGCTGTTTTTGCACTAAAATGGCCGAACCAAATAGTCTCAACAGACTATACGGCCCACAGGGCCTAAAATATTTCCTATCTAGTCTTTTATTTTTAAAAAGTTTGGCTGGGCACAGTCACTCATGCCTGCAATCCCAATGCTTTGGGAAGACGAGGCGGGAGGATCACTTGAGGTCAGGAGTTCAAGGTTGTAATGAGCTATGATCACACCACTGCACTCCAGCCTGAGTTACAGAGTGAGACACTGTCTCACACACACAAAAAAAAGTTTGCCAACTTCTGCTGTAGACACATATCACTTAATATAACAACAATAAAAAAAATAGTAATTATCTTTCAAAACCACCAATGTATCTGGAAAAGAAACATTACAGACTGAATGTTTGTGTACCCCCCGAACTTCGTATGTTGAAATCCCAACCCCTAATGTGATAATATTAGGAAATGTGACCTTTGGAAGGTAATTAGGTCATGAGCATAGGGCCTTCCCTCAAAAGAATGGGATTAGTGCCCTTTTATAAGGGACCCCAGAGAGCTCTCTCACCCTCTTTCCACCATGTGAGGACACAGCGGGAAGTTGTCTGGCTCTCACCAGACACTGAATCTGCCAACTCCTTGATCTTGGACTCTCCAGCCCCCAAAACTGTGAGAAATAAATTTATGTTGCTTATAACCCACTCAGTCTAGAGCATTTTGTTACAGGAACCCAAACTAAAACCAGACATTTATTTCAGAATGCAAATCCAGTAAGTTCTCTGTTATCTGACACTATACCTGCTGTACCTCTAATTAGCACTTTGCTTCACAAAACAATAAATGGCCAATGTCAGGCAAATAGGGCATCTGCAAGTTTCTAATGTATCTTCTGAATCATTAAGAAAGGATTAAATACATTTCTAGAATTAATTATATTTTAATACATCACAAATTTTTTTGAAAACTGGACACATACACACACACACACACACACACACACACACACACACCTTATTGGAAAAAGGCTTACAGGACATAAACTTCAAAATCCTGTCAACTTTCCCTAAAGGTATTTTCAAAAAGATATTCAGCATATTTAAAAGTAAGAACCATTCACTGCTTAGATTACTGCAATAATAAAAAGTCTTCAATTATGCTTTCTGTGAATGGCTGAAATGTCCAACTAAGAGGGCATTAGCTTCTCAGAAAAAAGCAATGCTAGAAGCATGCAAAATGTAGGCATAAGGCTATAATCCTGCTTCTTCAACTAAGTAACACTAAAAAGATATTGTAATCTTAAATATTAGACTCCTGAACTGTCAGAAATATGAAACAAAAGTAAACAGGTAACAGTCTACTACACTAAATATGTGTTTCACCCATTTGGAACAAATTTTTTCAGATAATTTATATATATAACTTCTAAATTATATATTTAAAAAGAAACCCAGGAGTTTGGCTTCATGGTGAAGCAGTTATACTTTCTTAGCAAAAGGAACATTAATGTAATGAATACCTTTTGCAATCTCATTTAGAAGTGGTTTATGTCAGCAAACAGTTGGACTTAATTAGCAGGCTAATGACAGCAAGTCATGATCATAAAAGCTATCTAACCTCAGTATGAAGGGCCTGCTTTTCCCTCTCATTAACTAGGCCTTTCAAGATCAATATATTTGCAGGTTCCTCCTGCAAGATCCCATGGTGATGTCACACGCCATCATCCTAAACAGACTGAGTGATTTCCTTCTAGGAAGTCAGTAGTCCCAGACAGAGGGGGAAAGCTTTCTTTTCACAAAGGTAGCACAGTATTCTTGAGTGCTCCTGCCAAAATCTGAGCACTCGGTAGTGTAGTCTCTTAGTGGGTATTGTTAGGCAGTAATCCAAACACATTTCAAATGAATTAAGGAGCCACTTTCAATAAAAACCAACATAGGCTGAGCACGATGGTTCATGCCTAATCCCCAGCACTTTAGGAAGCCAAAGCGGGAGGATTACTTGAGCTCAGGAGTTTAAGGTCAGCCTGGGAAACACACCAAGACCTCGTCTCTACTAAAAAAAAATAATAATAATAATTTTTAAAATTAGTTAGGTGTGGTGGCACATGCCTGTAGTCCTAGCTACTCGGGAGGCTGAGGAGTGAGGATCATTTGAGCCAAGGAGTTCAAGGTTACAGTCAGCGAGCCATGACTGCGCCACTGCACTCCAGCCTGGGCAAAACTCTGTCTCAAAAAAAAAAAAAAAAGAAAAAAGCCAACATAGTCCGATTTTTAAAATAAATAAAGACCTTTATGATAGACTGCCAGATGTTTAAAAATATTTATAGGTCTTTCCTAGATTACATGCAAACTAAGTTTGAGTCTCTGTGGAAAAACATTGAAGGAAACCAAAATAAGAAAACTATGATTATCTCTAATCCTTATAGGCTATACGAGACCTGAGGGAAAACCAGATGTGACTTAGGGCAACATCTGTATACTTGCTGTTCAAAGTTAAACATCAGTAGGAAGTCCCTCAATCTCACAGGAATGAGGCTAATGATCTTTTCAGAAAAGCCAGAAAGGAAAATATAGTCTAAAACAAATTCCTTAGAAAGTAGTGGTTCATATCACAAAATAATGCTTCATATTATACAATGATTCAGGAGTTTCTTAGATGGTAAGTATCTTAGTTCATTTTACATTATTTTGTATATCTAAATCTATCCATGTGCAACTTTGAATGAGCATCTCTTCTACCTAAAACAAAGTACCTATCTTTTAATTTTTACAATTAACAAAAAGCAAACTAAAGCACTTAACGAGGTTAAGCATCTTAGGTCTAAGATTAAAAATAATGACAGAACATGCACAAAACTCAATTTCTGAACCTCCTATGCAGTAAGACCCCAACAAATGGCAATATAAAAACTAACTACTAAAAGGCTGTGAAGTCCAGGCACAGTGGCTCACATCTGTAATCCTAGCACTTTGGGAGGCCAAGGAGGGAGAACTTAAGCCCCGAAGTTCAAGGCTGCAGTGAGCTATGATTGCACCACCGCACTCCAGGCTGGCTGACAAAATAATTTAAAACAATTTAATTTAAAATAATTTAAACAAATTAAATAACAAAAGGCTCTGAATGTACAGTTAAGCAAATGCTATTCCTGATGCTTTGCTGCCATCTCTGATGAGGCCTGTAAACAATCAAGAAGACAAAAAAAGTCATGTTAATTTCAAAACTAAATTACCCCTAAGGAGAGAAAAGATTGAGAATAAAAGCCAATGGCCATTAAAAACACCTATATGTGTATACGCATACGAGTGTTGAGACATGTACATACACGTATCAATTACATACAAACCTCCAGAGAGTAGGTTTGAAGAGTCAGAGGAAAATTAATAGGCATGAAAAGGTAAATAGGTATCAGAAATTCAGTAAAATCACAGTGGGGTACTTACCAGGACAAACAGTGATTTCTTCTGCAGAACTCTCTGGCATAAGGACTAAGCTTCTCTTACTGGTCAAAGCAGCAACACTGAAAGAGAACCAAATCCCAAATGAATTCCCAGTAAAATAAATCAGAACATAGAGCCAAAAGCAATGGTGAGTCACTCACAAAGCCACAGGTAATCACAGATACTTGCTGCCTAATACCACAAAAGCACAATAGGAAAGCAAGGAATCAGTACTGAAAACTCCAGACCAGAAATATGGAAAATAAATATGCTTACAACTTCAGTTCCAGTGAAATCACTGAATGAAAACAAATTCCCTTTTGGAGTTTTCACAAAGGAAGGTTGAAGGGTGAGAACTGTCTGTGAATATCAGAGAAGGCAAAAACTCCACTCCAATATAAGGATGTCAAAGGTGTTTTATAGCCTCCATCTCAGCCTTCTGAAGGCTAGAGATTTGTAAACTGACAAGAGAAGACACAGAGATTCTTCTGACAACACACTTTCTCCTCCTTTTGCAGTTAAATCTCCTCTTTATCTCAAGATGTTGCTTTCCATGCAACAAAAATAAAAAACAATTCCAAACTGCCCTACAGCAAAAATCTGCCCACATAAATTGAATCTCTTTTCTAACAAAAACTTAATTATGAATGGCTTCCTTCATCCAACCTTCTGGTTTTCCCTGACTGCTCATGGAGTGCAATCTCTTCCTGACATAGGAATACATGGCTGATCTGAGCATCTGAGCTAGCCCCCTCATGCTTCACAGGGCTTTACGATTAGTT
Organism: Homo sapiens; assembly: GCF_000001405.40. NCBI lineage: Eukaryota > Metazoa > Chordata > Mammalia > Primates > Hominidae > Homo > Homo sapiens. Next base: position 176,956,738 of record NC_000005.10, read on the forward strand.
TGATCAAGTATGCAAGAGGATGCTTGAAAACAAAAATCCTCACATCAACCAAGAACCACAGAGAAGACAGAATAGCTACAACTGAACTCATGATAAATAACTAAATCCTGATAGAAAACCACAAGTGATTTATCTCTAAATAAAACATCTCATAGCATTTGTTATAAACCCCAGCCAGACAGTTTACTCTGCATGTAACATTAGTGCTCTATTCAAAGGGTCCATCACAAAACAATTTTCTGACATTTATAAAATGGGCTAATCAATTTGAAGTCAAACCACATTGCCTGCGATTCCAACTCTCTCCTGGTGACAAAGTGTATAATCATTTATTAAAACCTACATCTGCTCTGCACAAGGCTCACCACAATAAAGCAGAGAGGCCTATAGGGAGTAAAGGCATACTCTGTTAAAACCACTTCCAAAACTGTCTTAACAGCAGGAAAATCAAACCAAAGCCATATTCTTTAGCCCAGGAAGGAATACCAAGTACTATCAACCAGAAGCCTAAGAAAGACCACCACCTTGACTACAGCAAATGGCAAGTGGGCTTCAACTCTCATATGGGAGAACAGTCATGCAGTTCAAAACTAAGCTCTTGAGAAAGTCTCAAAACTCAACTACTAGATAAAAAGGGCAAGTGGAAAGTAACTGGAAGCATGATCCAGTTAATAGTGCAGTTTATAATTAATCAACTGCTATCTATTATTAAAGTAAGAAGACTTAGAAGGTAAGCCCATCAATCAATCAGCAAGAACAATGGAGGAGGTAATGCAAATACCATCCTTTACAGGAGATAGGAGGCACAAACGGATTAAAAGTGGCACAGGACAGACAGTGAGAGTGACACAGGTCCTGTGTGGCCTGAATAATATGAAGACTTTGAAGAGGATGTTAAGTCTCAAGAGTAAATTTAAAAGATGTATAAGGTTTAGATATACAGATAAAATAAGCATAAGCAGAGTTGGGGAAAAGAGAGAAAGGGGCTAAGAATAGAAGGACTATAAAGAAATCAGTCTAGAGCCTTCAAATTGGCATAGAAAACTAGTGTAATTAGTTAAGAGAATTGCAGGATGTGACCGCTTTTCAGAAATAATGTAAATGAGATTTATGCCAAGATAGCTGGCCTGGACAAGATGACCTCTAGGATCTCTTCCAGCTCTTAATATTCTGGGCTTCTATGAGATGCACATCTGAGAACTTAGAGATACTAATAAAATTTCTCCTAGTCTTCACTTATAAAAGAGCTAAAAGTTCTCTGGCAAGCTGTCCACGTACAGTCTCACTCATGTGGTTCATCTCCCTTATGCTGGCAACCATCAGAGGAGAATGCATAGCAACATATAATCTCTCACCTTTGTGAAGCAGGTACAGAGTTTCCCTCTTCAGAAGTTTCTTCAACAATCCCTTGGGAAGACTGCAAAGAAATACGTAGTATCTTAAATATACAGGCACAGGTGAACTGGCTTCTCTTCCTTTTTTAAAAAAATTTAATTGTTCAATGTTCTCCCTCAACAATTAACAATAAGAAGAAAATATTTTCCATAAGCCAGTAAGTGTCAATAAAACAAGCACATCCTGTAAAGTCAGAAGACTGGTATTTAAATCAGAACTAAATCACTTACTAAATTTGTGATTGGGTAAATGACATCTGAATCTCTTTCCTCATCTTAAAATGGGTATTAACAATTGCCTCACAGAGTGTTGTGAAAATTAAACAAGATAATGTACACAATGCACTTCATAACATGCAAGACCTGTATCAATATTAACTGGTAAGTCAAATGAATTATGATTTCAGAAAAACAATCAAAAAGTTTGCATGGGGGAAAGGAAAATATAGAGAAAAGTTCAATTTTCAAAGGAAATACTGAGTTGAGATAAACACTGCAATCTATGATCTTTGAGAAAAACCAAGCCATAACACAGGACATCTAAAGGGAAGGTTACAAAGATTCTTTTTGCTACAAATCTGCCACTATGGTTTTTATATCTGGCTACAGGATTATCTTTTCAGAAATGTAATGAATAGGGACTACATAAGGAAAGATTATTTTCATTGATTCAAAAATTATTTTCATTGATTAATGGTAGAGTTGACGCAAATACCAACTCATTAAACATACATGCACAGAAGATCACAGAAAAAGCAGCTACTGCTGCCTTAGGCAGACTTCTGAGGAAGTGCCTGGGCTGTGAGGCTTCTTCCACTAGACATAAAGCTACCAGCTGAAGTTTTCAAGGTTTCCTAATAAGATATGAATAACCTAAACAAGTTAGGCATCTCTTTATGAATCTCGCTACCATTCAGGTAAATGATGAAATACATTTAAAAATCAGGAATAGTTGAGTTTTCAGTCAAAAGGAAAGTTGTACAATAATAGGGAATATAGTCATTATGAAAAACAAGACTTAACCAAACTACCAAAGGACTAAAATACAACAGCAATAAATACTTAACCTGTCTCTTCCTTTGAACTCAGGGGTGACAAGGTTTTTATTGAACTCTCAGAAAGAGAAAGAAAGAGAAAGAGAATGCTGACACCTAGTGTCCATTTAACAGAATTTTATAATGACTAGCCTTGGTCTTTAGATGCAATCAAAGCACTAGTAAGTTAGTTATAAGGCACCTCCATCTCTGCCTTAGGCTAAAGCATATCTCAAACCTTCTCAGTGTAATTGTTTAAAAAAATTATTGGCCGGGCGCGGTGGCTCACGCCTGTAATCCCAGCACTTTGGGAGGCCGAGGCAGGCAGATCACGAGGTCAGGAGATCGAGACCATCCCAGCTAAAACGGTGAAACCCCGTCTCTACTAAAAATACAAAAAATTAGCCGGGCGTAGTGGCAGGCGCCTGTAGTCCCAGCTACTTGGGAGGCTGAGGCAGGAGAATGGCGTGAACCCGGGAGGCGGAGCTTGCAGTGAGCCGAGATCCCGCCACTGCACTCCAGCCTGGGCGACAGAGCGAGACTCCGTCTCAAAAAAAAAAAAAAAAAAAAAATTATTGTGCTTTGGCCAGGCGCGGTGGCTCACGCCTGTAATCCCAGCACTTTGGGAGGCCAAGGTGGGCGGATCACCTGAGGTCGGGAGTTCAAGACCAGCCTGACCAACATGGAGAAATCCCGTCTCTACTAAAAATACAAAATTAGCCGGGCATGGTGGCTCACGCCTCTAATGCCAGCTACTCGGGAGGCTGAGACAGGAGAATCGCTTGAACCCAAAAGGTAGAGGTTGCAGTGAGCCAAGATCGTGCTATTGCACTCCAGCCTGGATGACAAGAGTGAAAACTCTGTCTCAAACAAACAAAATTATTGTGCTTCTATTCAGTGCCAGGCCTGTGCTAATCACTTTACATTCCTTATCTCCTTTAATTCTCACAAGCAACTTAAGAAGCAAAAACCATTAAATTATTTTAAAAATAAGTGAAACTTCGAGAGGTTAAATAATTTGCCCTAAATCATATAGTTGGTCAAAATCGTAGCGCTGAGACTTGCCTGACTCTAAAATCCACACGCTAAAAACTATTATATTGCTTACTCAGATGATCCTCTTCCTAATCATTTCAATGTAGAATCCCAAGAACGTCTTCATTTCAATACATTATTTTAATTTAGAAATTTATACCTCAATGGCAGTAATCTGAACATAAAGTGAGGTTCTTCCAGAATATGAACACAGGATAGCAAAATAAGCAAATAAAATTTAGACTACCCAAATGTAATCAAGGTGAACATGAAAGCATGGCAGAAATAAAAATTTAAGGAAGCTATGGCCTAATCAAGACATCTTCTTCCTGGAGAAATAATATGTTAATAAGGAAGGGATGGTTTGCATTGAATCTTAAAAAAAAAAAAAAATTCAGCCCTCTCTCCCTCTCCCCCTCCCCCTCCCCCTCCGTCTCCGTCTCCGTCTCCGTCTCCGTCTCCGTCTCCCCACGGTCTCCCTCTCATGCGGAGCCGAAGCTGGACTGTACTGCTGCCATCTCGGCTCACTGCAACCTCCCTGCCTGATTCTCCTGCCTCAGCCTGCCGAGTGCCTGCGATTGCAGGCACGCGCCGCCACGCCTGACTGGTTTTGGTGGAGACGGGGTTTCGCTGTGTTGGCCGGGCCGGTCTCCAGCCCCTAACCGCGAGTGATCCGCCAACCTCGGCCTCCCGAGGTGCCGGGATTGCAGACGGAGTCTCGTTCACTCAGTGCTCAATGGTGCCCAGGCTGGAGTGCAGTGGCGTGATCTCGGCTCACTACAACCTCCACCTCCCAGCCGCCTGCCTTGGCCTCCCAAAGTGCCGAGATTGCAGCCTCTGCCCGGCCGCCACCCCGTCTGGGAAGTGAGGAGTGTCTCTGCCTGGCCGCCCATCGTCTGGGATGTGAGGAGCCCCTCTGCTCGGCTGCCCAGTCTGGGAAGTGAGGAGCGTCTCCGCCCGGCCGCCATCCCATCTAGGAAGTGAGGAGCGCCTCTTCCCAGCCGCCATCACATCTAGGAAGTGAGGAGCGTCTCTGCCCGGCCGCCCATCGTCTGAGATGTGGGGAGCGCCTCTGCCCCACCGCCCCATCTGGGATGTGAGGAGCGCCTCTGCCCGGCCGAGACCCCGTCTGGGAGGTGAGGAGCGTCTCTGCCCGGCCGCCCCGTCTGAGAAGTGAGGAGACCCTCTGCCTGGCAACCACCCCGTCTGAGAAGTGAGGAGCCCCCCCGCCCGGCAGCTGCCCCGTCTGAGAAGTGAGGAGCCTCTCCGCCCAGCAGCCACCCCATCTGGGAAGTGAGGAGCATCTCCGCCCGGCAGCCACCCCGTCCGGGAGGGAGGTGAGGGGGGGTCAGCCCCCCGCCCGGCCAGCCGCCCCATCCGGGAGGGAGGTGGGGGGTCAGCCCCCCGCCCGGCCAGCCGTGCCATCCGGGAGGGAGGTGGGGGGGTCAGCCCCCCGCCCGGCCAGCCGCCCGGTCCGGGAGGTGAGGGGCGCCTCTGCCCGGCCGCCCCTACTGGGAAGTGAGGAGCCCCTCTGCCCGGCCAGCCGCCCCGTCCGGGAGGGAGGTGGGGGGGTCAGCCCTCCGCCCGGCCAGCCGCCCCGTCTGGGAGGTGAGGGGCGCCTCTGCCCGGCCGCCCCTACTGGGAAGTGAGGAGCCCCTCTGCCCGGCCAGCCGCCCCGTCCGGGAGGGAGGTGGGGGGATCGGCCCCCCGCCCGGCCAGCCGCCCCGTCCGGGAGGGAGGTGGGGGTGTCGGCCCCCCGCCCGGCCAGCCGCCCCGTCCGGGAGGGAGGTGGGGGGGTCAGCCCCCCTGCCCGGCCAGCCGCCCCGTCCGGGAGGTGAGGGGCGCCTCTGCCCGGCCGCCCCTACTGGGAAGTGAGGAGCCCCTCTGCCCGGCCAGCTGCCCCGTCCGCGAGGGAGGTGGGGGGGTCAGCCCCCCGCCCGGCCAGCCGCCCCGTCCGGGAGGGAGGTGGGGGGGGTCAGCCCCCCTGCCCGGCCAGCCGCCCCGTCCGGGAGGTGAGGGGCGCCTCTGCCCGGCCGCCCCTACTGGGAAGTGAGGAGCCCCTCTGCCCGGCCAGCCGCCCCGTCCGCGAGGGAGGTGGGGGGGTCAGCCCCCCGCCCGGCCAGCCGCCCCGTCCGGGAGGGAGGTGGGGGGGGTCAGCCCCGCTGCCCGGCCAGCCGCCCCGTCCGGGAGGTGAGGGGCGCCTCTGCCCGGCCGCCCCTACTGGGAAGTGAGGAGCCCCTCTGCCTGGCCAGCCGCCCCGTCCGGGAGGGAGGTGGGGGGTCAGCCCCCCGACCGGCCAGCCGCCCCGTCCGGGAGGGAGGTGGGGGGGGTCAGCCCCCCGCCCGGCCAGCCGCCCCGCCCAGGAGGTGAGGGGCGCCTCTGCCCGGCCGCCCCTACTGGGAAGTGAGGAGCCCCTCTGCCCGGCCACCACCCCGTCTGGGAGGTGTGCCCAACAGCTCATTGAGAACGGGCCAGGATGACAATGGCGGCTTTGTGGAATAGAAAGGCGGGAAAGGTGGGGAAAAGATTGAGAAATCGGATGGTTGCCGTGTCTGTGTAGAAAGAAGTAGACATGGGAGACTTTTCATTTTGTTCTGCACTAAGAAAAATTCCTCTGCCTTGGGATCCTGTTGATCTGTGACCTTACCCCCAACCCTGTGCTCTCTGAAACATGTGCTGTGTCCACTCAGGGTTAAATGGATTAAGGGCGGTGCAAGATGTGCTTTGTTAAACAGATGCTTGAAGGCAGCATGCTCGTTAAGAGTCATCACCAATCCCTAATCTCAAGTAATCAGGGACACAAACACTGCGGAAGGCCGCAGGGTCCTCTGCCTAGGAAAACCAGAGACCTTTGTTCACTTGTTTATCTGCTGACCTTCCCTCCACTATTGTCCCATGACCCTGCCAAATCCCCCTCTGTGAGAAACACCCAAGAATTATCAATAAAAAAATAAATTAAAAAAAAAAAAAAAAAAAAAAAAAAAAAATTCAAAGAATTATTATCAAAGGGTATTTTTAATACTTAAAAGTGAAAATGGGGCTGGGCAGAGTGGCTCACATCTGTAACCCCAGAACTTTGGGAGGCCAAGGGGGGCGGATGCCTTGAGGCCAGCAGTTCAAGACCAGACTGGCCAACATCGTGAAACCCCATCTCTACAAAAAATACAAAAATTAGCCAGGCATGGTGGTGCATGCCTGTGACCCCAGCTACTCAGGAGGCTGAAGCAGGAGAATCACTTGAACCCGGGAGGTGGAGGTTGCAGTGAGCTGAGATCGTGTCACTGCACTCCAGCCTGGGTGACAGAGTGAAACTCCATCTTTAAAAAAAAAAAAAAAAAAGTGAAAATGAATAGATAAATCATCTGGTCATCACAGAAATGTCCTCTATTGTGTGACACTGGTAGTTTATTAGGTTTTTCCACAGACTAGTTGAACCATCCCTTAAAAATTCCATTTTCTGATTATTTCAACCCTCCAGATACTGTCATTCTAGAAGACAGTAGATACAGGTCTGAGTATTCTGGTCACTGAAAATGTCTCTATTCCATAATAAATAAATAAACTGTCATTTTGTATACATACATCAGCGTGAAGTTTGGCAAATCAAAGTCAGTTCTCACAACCCCACACAATCTGGTCATTTCTGATAAAAAAAAAAAAATTCCAATATCCGGACTGAAAAATTAAGTATCAGATTCTGAAAAGTAGTAACCACATTAACATACTACCCCTTCCAACTCCTTGTCATAATGCTCTCAAGGTGATCTACAGGCCTTCATTAGCAACTTTATCTTGTCTCAGTGATGCCAAAAACCAGTTATCATCTGATTCTAAAGCTTTAATAACCTTAATATAGACTAAGTTATGTGCCCCAAAGTGAATGTTTCTCTGAGTCCCTATTTTTGAGACTCTCTTGCTATCTCTATCAACCAAGAAGTCTCAAATACAGGCAGCTCCACCAAAGCTGTGTTCAATAGAAAATGTTTAACAAACGAATTCTTTCTACCCACATTTCCTGAAAGCAAAAGATTGAGAGGTAAAACTACAATCACAGGACCTACATTATTTGCCTATAAAATTAGTTGAAGTTTGTTTTTTAAAGGTACAATTATTTGTTGGCAAGGCTTCAGTGAACTAGATATTCTCATACATTGCCAAATGGAGAGAATACAAATTGTAACAGCCTTTCTGACAAGCAATTTGGCAATAAATATCAAGTCTTTATGTTCATAACTCTTTAACCCATCATTTTTATGGCTCATGACTAAGTACACTGATGAGGAATAAAGAAAAGTTTCATATAGAAAGATATCACAACTGAAATATCCAGCAATAGAAAAATGTTTAAAATATTATGGTAAATTCATAAACTGGAATATAATATAGCCATTAAAAGTGAAATATATAATTTAACATGAGAAAATGTCTACATGATATTAAAGATACAAAAATAATATGATCTGAACCATACAAAAAATAGGTAATATTCTTTAAACTTTTCAGCATTTTTTAACATCTCCAAGTGATTTTTTTATTAAAGTTAATGTCTATATGCTTACTAGGTTGTCTGCCTTGTCTGCTTTCACTGAGGACTGTCCCTCACCCCTCCCATTCCCATTAGCAGTGGGCTTACAGCCAATTTGACAAGTAACCTCCATCAAGCCACAGCTGACTGGGCTACTGACACCA